>NC_000012.12:71096491-71248006 GCF_000001405.40 Homo sapiens | reverse complement strand
CAGCTAAACTCAGCAGGCAATAGGCAATGAGCCACAGGCAAGATAGTCTGTATGGTGTAGTGAGATCATCTGACATGGTTTAAAATGAGCTTCTGATTTTCAGAGGAACAAAGTTTATACCTAGCTTTCCCCTGGGGTTAAGGCAATTTTCAATAACACCAACACCTCTTTGAGTAAAATGATTGGTTCAATATATTTCAGGGGTGGGAGTGGGGTGAGGTACTGGGAAGGAAACTTATCTCATGTATAATTGGCTCCTGTTAAATTAATTTTCAAAGCAATGCAACTTATTTTAATCCATCTTAAAAGTTTGAAACTTTTTATAACCTCAGGGCTTAGACTGGAAACATCACACTATTCTGGTGACCTTGGGTAGTGATGGAAAACTCATGGTAGAGCCCAATCTTATCAATTTTGTAACTAGATGTTTATTATTAAAATCCTTACAGTTGTCATGGGGGTTTGAAGTTTCTAAATGTATGTACATCCAGACAACTATCTTCCCAGCCTCCGTGTGTATCACTTCATTATACTGTGAAGTAAAAATACTGTGGAAAGGGAGCTTTTTGTACATAAAGTAGTTAAGATAGAGAATGGGCATGTTGTTGAGAAATACAAGTTCAAAATGATTGATTGAACATTCAAAAACTTACCAACCAAAGACAGACAAGACAATTTTTTAAATGAATACTAACCACACTTCTGAATCCAAAGAGAGAAGGTCTTTGGGGGTATGTGAAGGAGAAAACAAAAAAATTTATTTTCCTATATTTGTATTAACAAAACAAAATTTAGAAACACATGAAATTTAATTTTGGCCTCACCTTGCTTTGTACATCTCTCTCCTGCTGTCTAGTTCCAATCCTTCATAATTTTGTTACCCTAAGAAGTGCTTCACTGCAATGTGCTATTAATATTTGATTCCCATGGCCCCCATGGCCCCATATACCATGGTTACCTGCCTCCCTTAATCCAGTCAAAACTCCCAATGCTGAGTGCAATTCACCTTAACCATCATTAAAAGGAAAGCAATTGGGCTAAACAAGTTACACTAATATGCAGTTATCAAATAGTCACATAACCTTCACAATAGTGTTAACATTTTAAAAAGGAGATGCTTTCCTAATCTAAGTGAATCTATGATTAATGTCATCCTTATGAAGAAAACAGTTAGGGTTAGCTGCCCTACGCTACTTTTATTTTCCAAAGTTTAAAAATTTTTTTTATCTTTACACTATAAAGTATTTAAGAGCCCCAGCTTTTTCTGGTAATATCTCCCAAGCAATAGGAAAGGGGGAGTCTGGTTCAGAAGGTAGCAGGGGATATTCATTCATATTTATGTGGGGTTTATATGGTAGGTATTTGTAAGTGTTAAAATTGCCTCATTGTAACAGGGTAGAGAAAAAAGCTGTTTACCAATTCAGAAACCCCTAGAAAGAGATTTAAGTTTAATTGAACTTTTACACAGGTTGTTTATGTACTACAGCAGGCTTATAAAACAGTAAAGTATGATACATATGGAAGAAGCACATAAATACAAGCTGGCTTTTTGAAATTGTTTGTGATTCATCTGTCATGTGTCAGTGAGAGAAGATGCTATGACTCTCTCTTCATTTTACCTCTTTTTCTACTCTTTTGTAAGCTGAATCACATATTGTCTCATCATTTAGATACTTTGAATGACCCAGACGCAATGTCACATCATATCACAAGATCACAAAGTCAGTAAAATATTACCTTAAAATCAAAGGATGAGATAACAGAAATGGAATACCTGACATTGACTTCAGTTAATTGTAGTTAAATTCTCTCTGTGAATGGTAGCAGTAAAGCAAACTCAACATTGTGTATATAAACTGGGCTCCAGAAATAAAGACTGGAAATCCAGAAATAAAGACTGGAAATCGAGAGATATGATAGCTGCTTGTAGAAGAACTGGCTAGATAGCATGTTTCTCTCTATAAAATTTCCTACAGTAAATAGGTTTTTCTTTGCATAGAAGAGACTTTGCATACAGTAGTACCTAGTACATTTTGATAAGATAATTGGAAAATAATAAAGTTTAATTTCATTTTAAAAGGCATTCAGGGGTATTTAAGATTGCTAACAATATTTTTTCTAAGATAACGAATAACAAGCAATTTTCAAAAACCAACTAGAATGCATATATATATAGTTTCCTGTATACTAGCATCATTATAGGCTGTGTCATAAATTAAATATCTTCTACCAAAAGTACTTTTCTTCCGGCTACTTTTGGACCTGAAAATCCACTATTAAAGATTTCTGATTTGGGGTTAAGCCTTTTGGTTATGGCTGTGGTCTTCTTTCAAGACCACATTAAATGCATCTGAGTGAGAATATTTATAACAGGTATGGCTTTAAGGATCACATCTAAATTGATTTATTAATTAAGTCCACAGAAAGCATTAAACACCTACTGTGTGTCAGGTACATCATTAGTACTGAAACTAGAAAAGTGAACAAGGTAAGGTTCCTGCCCTCAAGATGCTTACAGACTTTTAATCTTAGCTTTAGCTGTGCTAGGCTCATGTAGTTCCAGCTGCCATTGGTATGCACTTTCTTTGATGGCCTATCAGCCTCTTTAAACATATCTTTTTCTCTTAAAAATTTGCCATACTTTCCACCTTTCTCAATTCCATCTGTGGTACCATAACTTTCCCAGGTAATGGAATTTTTCCTGACAAGCTAACACCACATTAATCTTCCCCTTCTCAAAAGAGAAAGTCAAAGGCACACAGATAAGCATTCAATTGCTCTCTAATTATTCGATGTGTGAAAAATTTTCTTCTCAGCTATATAATACAATTATTAAAGACAAAGATAACTTTTGGCCTCTTTTATCACTTTAGACCGGAGATTCTTCAAGTATAGACCCATAACAAACCCCTCAGGTGAATCTGATTAAAGTTTAAGAATCACTGCTCTAGACCATTGTGTCTCAAATTTCAATGTGCTTACAAGTCACTCAAGAATTATGTTAACATGAAGATTACAATTTAGTTGGTCTGGGATCCTCTATTCTTGACAAGTGTGCTGATAATGCCAATACTTTGGGGGATAGTCTGAAGATTAAAGAAGGCAATCTTATAGTCCCAAGCACAGTGTTAGGTCAGTGGGGAGATGTTCAACGAATATTTAGTGATTTCAATCAAGAGTATCTCAATGTGAATTGCTTTATAGAATTTTATACAAGTGTATCCACAATTGAGAGAAAATCATACTAAGAAAGATAGGGAGAGCAATGGAAGATAAAATTTATGTAACAACTTTAAATAAAGCTTAACCAAACTCCCAGTTTAACACATTCTTAAAATCTTATTTTTTAAATTTCTCTTGTATTTTTTTCTAAGTATCTTTGTCAGAAAAAACTGATAAGCTAATCTTATCTTTGAAAAAATGTATCTATAGAATTCATTACAATGCTAGATGCTTACTTGACATAGTGTTTTTAAATTGAGTTCTCTTAAGCAAACTCTTAGGTACAGAAAATGGTAACTGTCTCTTTATAATTTTAAACGTATAGTACTGAAAATTAAAGAATTTCTATAGTTTATGTTTCTGAAAAAAGTTACTGTAAACTAAAAAATGTTGTTCTAACTATTTCCCTCAACAGAATGTAGTAATTAACTGGCAAATGAAGAGAAAAAATATGTACATTCTGAAAGAACCAAATGGTGCAAAAAAGTACATAATTAATCAAAAGCATTTTCAGGGATACCTGCATGAAATAATGAACATCAGTGTACTGGCCCTGACAAGTTCTGTATTAAACTATGACAATAGTTTCTCTGCTGTTTCAATACTGTACTTTCTTAACACAAAACACTGTCATGCCTGGTACATGGTGAACCAACAAAGCAATCAAAAGCAATTAAATGAATGGTTTGTACAAAGTTCCTTTTCATAAACTCCATGCACATTGAAAAAAAGTTAAATAAACCTCAAATAAAACTTAAATTTAATAGTGAATGGGTTTTATATTTCATGAGACTCTTAAGTACAGACACGTAACACCTACAGCATGTTAGCCTACATTTGTTTCAAAGTTGGAATAAGTAGTTACTTAAATAAGGCAGTTTTGCCAAGATACATAACTGTTATAACATGCTTTGAATTTAGGGCAAAAACGAGGCTTTTCTTACAATTTTTTTTAATCATAAAGAGGAGCAAAGGACCAAAGTAACATTATTTCCCTTCAGTGACTCAGATTTATGGAAACTTCTCCAATAATTTCACCTCTAACTGTGGTGGAACTTGTTCACAGGGCATGGATGAACATTCAATTCAGGAACCAGCTGTATGATTCAGAGAAAAAAAAATAAGTGGACTAATTCCAACCTTAGGTCTAACAAGAATTGAATACTTCCCAGGATTTTAAAGCATCTGAAAAATCTTTTTAATGTTATTTCTTCTTTTGGTCATATCTTTTTACTTATTTCTATCCAAGATAGGAAGGGAAAAAAAGGCTGAAGTGTCGTAAGAAAGTTATATGCTGCTGAAGTTTATGTCAGAAGAACCAATGCTTTTATCCCACTTGACTTGCATTCCAATGTCACATAGTTAATGGCTGATCTTTCAAGGGTGCCAGCATTCCCCTAAACCAAAATAAGCAAACATCTAAGTACTTTGAATTCTCTTTCTCAAAATTATGCTTTATTATCCTGGGATCTCTTGATAGAATAAGAGAATACTGCTAAATCCTAAAAAGTTTTTATATTTATCTGGATATGCAGTAGTATGGAGAAAGGGATCCATTGGGTTTACCTCTTTCCATTTCAATTTCACTCTGCTTAATTCTGCACAAATCTGAATTTTCACATGTAAAAAGAGGAGGGGGCAATCACAAGAAATGTTCCTTCTATTCTCCCAGAATCCCTCAATCTACAGCCTCATTCAGAAGCTTAATAAAGCTTGGTCAAGGAAGTTCTGCTACAAGACATTTCCCACACTGACATTGTCACTTTGCTGGAAATTACTTTGAATGAACGCATTGAAGTCCCCTGGGAAAACACAAGTTTTACTGCTATTGTATGTGAGAGACCCCTAACTACTTGTGACCTGAGAATTTTCCACTGTGGCTTTTACAAGTTCTTGTAGCCTTGCCCTTACTCCACAACTGTCTTTCCTTATTCTCTCTTGCTCATGACTGTAACCCCCAATTCTTGCTATTCACCCCTTTCAATAAAATCCAGATTGCTGAAACAATGGCTTTTACTCCACAAGAACAATCCCTCTATTTCTATTTCTGAAACTACCTGGACCTCAGCCAATCCCCCTTCTGCTAAGTCTAGCTGAACTTCAGCCAGCTTCATCCTGCTAAAGCCATGCAAAACTTTCTATCATCCTTCTCCAAGTTAGAATGCTCCTTCGAAGACTTGTTGACCCTTTGGTTGATTTTCTTCCATAGTTTTGCTGTTTAGACCTATTGTTTAGCTTGGGTCACTTAAAAGAGGAGTGAGTCTTCCGTGGACCAGACCAGTGCCTGGCTCTCTCGGCCTTAAAGTATCTCCTGAGCCTTTATTATTTTTTTCTTTGTTGTTCTTGCTATACACCTATTGGTTTGATTTATTCTACTCATTGAAATTTGCTTTGTATAGCATTAAGGAGAGTTTGTTTTTCAGGTCATTTAAATATGGGTTTAATGTTATAGAGCCAATAGCACCAGCCATTGAAAACTCTGGCAGGATTTTCTCAAGAATAGCTTAGAACTTTAGTGGCCACTTTGAGGAACTTGAGATGTGAATAAAATAATCCATTTGTATGGAATGTTTTAAAGATTTCGAATATTCAATGGTCAGTGTTTTTAAGTGGTATGAAGAGGTCTCTTAAAGTAAAAAAAAGAAAAAACAACTCTAAAGGACAGCAAAATTCTAAAATTGCTTCTCCTAAGAGCTCCTTAGAAAAAGCTAGTAGAAACAGGGATAATCTAAAATCTAAACTTAAAGTCTTATTTTTCCTCTTCTAACCCATCTTTGCATTGGCTTTCCTCCTACTCTCCTGTATTTCAACTTTCTCCCTCCCCTGTACCTTCTCTCAACCTCCTTTCTTATCCTCTACTGCCTCTTGCTAAATATAGCCCTCTTACTGGAGAATATCCTTTGTAATATATTTCAATAGAAATGGAAATGGTCAAGATTTTTATAATGTAGCTAAGGACTTTCCAGTCCCTCCTAAGGAAAGACAGAATTTAAATGTTATCTTAGGAATTTATAGTGTAAGATTCCCTGAAAAAATCCAGTTATGTAAGAAGGGCAAAAATAGATTCATTCCTGATTTCTGAGACAGCTTAATTACCACCTCTCAGAATACTATGTCCTCAATAGGAGTGAAGACATGACAACTGCCCTAACCACCTTCTTTACTGATGGTCTTAAACCTGAGGTAACAGATTTAGTTAGAAAACAAGATAGAATGCAGGCTGCCACATCTCTGAATTACAAGAGCTTGATGAGCACTGTGAAAACACTTTGACTCAGAAAAAAATGTACAGACCAAATTAATAGGTCTTCAGATTAAACTATTAGATAAACCCAATAAAAGGAACATCTCTATAGCTAGTCTAGACAAAGACACTGTGAAGAAGACCCATAAGAAAAAGGATGTTGGGAAAACACTTGCTCCACTTTAACTTGAAAGGCAGAATCTTAAAAGATGAGAAAATTTTGTGTGATAGATTGACCCTTTTTGAGTAAGTGGGTCCTCTGGTTTGTCCGCAATTTCCCTTAAAACGAAAGGGAGAACTTTTCAAGCAATTGCAAAAAAACCTAGCAAGTTCCTTTTTCAGTTGCTGCCAGGACTGCACAGTCTACCATAAACCTTGCCAACTTTCCATCATTCTTTCCTTGGAGCAACCAAAGTTTTCAGTGGTCGGAATCTCAAATATTCCTCTTACTAGTCAACATATTTTTCTGTGTAGTGATTTCACTCTGTAGGATCTGTTGTAGAAAGACCTACTTTGCAAATGGGTGTCACTCTTAAATGTGGGATAGAGAGCCTTTTTCTGAAAATTCATGGAAGAAAATTATTTGATCTTGGCAGAGATTGATTTCCCAGTATCTGAGCTTTTATCTGGGCCAGACTCACTAGAGCCTTCTGTAACTTAAAAAATATCCTTCAAAAGTGCCTATGCTTAGGATTCCCAGTTACGATAGACCTTTCTTTCTCTTTGCACATGAAAGATATGAAGAAGCTTCTGCGGTTCTAACCTAACAGTATGATAAGTATCAGACATCTGACATTTATAATAACCTCTGACTTTGCTGATGGCAGAAGCCTAGCTCTGTGTGTGTAGTGGCAACAACAGCACAGTTAAATGAGGCTTCTGCTGACCTAGTCCTAAGATCTCCACCTTAACCTTATGGTCCCTCATATCATTCAGACCTTACTCATAACTGAAAGCACCCAATGCTTCTTTGCTTCTAGATTAACCTGAGAAATTTTTCTCTTTTCATCCATACATATTTCTATTCATCTCTGTATCCCCTAAAACCCCCAAGCTTTGTCTCTCTCCCATAGGAGAGAGAATCTCATTACTGTCATGTACTTAGGCAACAGTTTTTCTGGCCTTTCTCTGATCTCTTTAAAATTCTTTTAGACAACCCAGATTTAGAACTGTTTATGGATGGAGTCTATTCGAGAACTGAACAAGGAAGCTATCAAGCACATGTAATCAAAACCCATTCAGACTTACTTCGATATTATCCTTCCAAAGAGGCCAAATCTCTGCAAGTTGCTACAATTGTAGCACTTACTTCAGCCTGCCTGTTAGGTAGATATAAGAGAGCGAACATCTATACAGATAGCAAATATGCTTTTGGGGTGGTTCATGAATCTTGGTATGCTTTGGGAACAATGAGGTTTCTTAACTGCATCTGGTATTCCCATTAAACATGGCAGTCACATAAAAATCCTATTATATGCCTTGTTTCTTCCAAAGGAATTGGCTGTATTAAGGTTGAGTTCATAGTAAAAAGCAGACTGAAGAAACAAAGGCTAATGCTTGAGCAGATTACTATGCAGTACTAAATGAGCTGCTTTAACACTTCCAGGCTGTCCAAGATTCAAAGCCAAAAGTAACTCCTGACTATTGGCATCTGGTCTTGAATTGACTCCAGTATCAAACACTTGGTTCTGAAGAAGTGTATTGGAAAAGATAAAATTGTTTTCCCATCTCAGATAGCTGTGGTGGCACCAAGATGGTCTCTTGGTTTGCTCAGGATGCTGAACTGGGCCTCCCAAAAGATGTTATATGCACCCATCATGGAAAGGAAAATTTAAAAACTATAATAAATAAGTGTTGGTGGAGATACTTCAATAGGATTGTAGAGCACATCTTTGGTGCATTTCCTATCTGTCAAGCCTACCATTTCAGGGAAATTATAAAGCTGGGACATGGACACAAGCCAAAACTTTAGACCCCCTTTTGAACTTGAATCTGAAAGTGGATTTCATTTCATTACTCACCTTATGTGGTTATGAATGTGTCCTTACTACTGTGTCCACATGGCTGAAGAGGCCTCACAATCATGGCAGAAGGCAAGGAGGAGCAAGTCACGTCTTACGTGGATGGTGGCAGGCAAAGAGAGCGCTTGTTCAGGGAAACTCCACCTTATAAAATCATCAGATCTTGTGAGACTTATTCACTATAGTGAGAACAGCACGGGAAAGACCTGACTTCATGATTCAACTACCACCCACCGGGTTCCTCTGACAACATGTGGGAATTATGGGAGTACAATTCAAGATGAGATTTGGGTGGGGACACACAGCCAAACCCTATCACCTGTCAGTACTTACCTTGATATTCATTCCTTGTATTCTCTGTAACATTTTAATTTTTTTCTGCACCCTCACTTGAGAAATCATTAAAATTCAATTATTTGGCAAAATTTCATCAGAAAGACAGGAAAGAGAGGTATAATTACTTTGAAAAAGCCCTGATAGCTGTCATCACCAGTGAACCTGAGACTATACCACTTGAGTGGTATAGTCTTGAGTGAGTGGTATAGTCTTGCGAACAAATCAAGATTTGGTTAAATGACAAATCAAGCTCCCCACTGACCTATAGAAAAGGTGGTGAAAATTTTCCACTGTGGCCTTTGTGTGTCAT
This sequence comes from Homo sapiens, assembly GCF_000001405.40. NCBI lineage: Eukaryota > Metazoa > Chordata > Mammalia > Primates > Hominidae > Homo > Homo sapiens. Next base: position 71,238,873 of record NC_000012.12, on the reverse strand, counting down.
AGTCTCCTTTGGCTGTTCCCCCATATCCCTCTTGCACATGACCTAACTCCTAATTGTTCATCTTCATTGTTGGTAAAATCTAGATTTCCCAAACAATAGTGCTAATTCACAAGAACAATCCCTCTATGTCCATCTGAACTTTATGGATGGGGGTGAGAGGGCTGGAACCAGTGCTTGAAGAAGGAAGAAAATTCTCAGAAAATAGGAAATGTCAAGTAGACATGAGAGGCAAGAATTCACAACCACTGACTTTGTGGAGCTTTGGGAAAATATTACAAATAAACTCAGTACAGCTTTGCATAAGGCAGTTACCATCCAGGAAAAGCATATTTGGGACAGAAGCTGTATTAGATAGGACAAATAATATAACAAAGAGACCCTAAATGGCAGTTGCTTATAGAACAAAGAAGTTCTTAGGCCTTTCTCATAATAGTGCTGGGTTTAACAATCCAGATTTGGGCATGTCTTTCATCCATGAAGACATTTAGTGATATGTTACCTTGTTGGTTTATTATTCCATACGGCATAGCCAAAGCTGATCATAGATAGCTTTTAAACTGTAAAAAGGGGAAGAAGTTGTCAGAAGCATATGTCCAGTGTCTTAAGGCCCAGATCAAAGGGGCACACATCACTTATGCACCAATCTGTTGGTGAGATGATCAAATAGTCATACCAAGCTGGAAGAAGCTCTGAGACATAGGGACTAGCTACACAGCCATGTATTCAACTCTACATCAATGATATATATATATCTCAGATATATATATAATATATATATATCTGAGATATATATATCATATATATCATATAATATATATATATCATATGTCAGAAAGCCTGTAAGTCTCCTGGGTTTGATTTCCAAAGGCCTGAGCAGTTAAGGGAACAGAGGGGATTTCTTATATAAATAAAATAGCAAGAATGCCAAGCACTGATAGCTGCCTACCTAATACATGTTTCCTCTGTCCTTTTAAGGAGAATTCCAATTATACCAGCTAAAACTACTTGCTGGGCACATACTCATCTCGTCCTGGGTGGTCATATGACACAATCTTGTGTTTAAGCCAATATATGGGAGCTACTTAGTATTTGCAGTTGAGTGGGCTCTTAACAAATGGACAAAAGAGGGCTTGGGGGTAAAGAGAGAGAAAGAGCTCCCTGACCCTACCAGCTTCCTGTCCAAATGTGTGTGTGTGTGTGTCTGTGTGTGTGTGTGTGTGTGTTTACCTGGACTGGAGATAGAAAAAAGAGGAGGAGGAGGGTGGATGGATAAAAGCATAGATATTGATAAGCCTACAATGGACATTTTCCATTTTACTTCCCCAGGATACTTTCTATCCTTCACCCTACCTGGTGCCTCAGGGGAGCTGATGCATATAAACTGCGTAAACAATTCTCTGATCCTCCATTTTTCTATTGGGTTTGGCCAGTAGAAGGCACCGGCAAGAGATCTGGAGAACAAGAAGAAAGTCAGGTCAGGGTATGTCTCCCAGGCCTTCACAGCTATGCTCTTCCTCAGAAAGCCACAGCTCCTCTGAGAGGGCACTCTCCACACAGCTCACTTTCTCAGTTCCTGGGCCACTTCCTCCCTTCATTCATTCAGGTTGCGGTGTAGGGTGGTGATGGCTCCCGATCTCATCTCTTGTTGCTTTTCCAAAACTCTTTCTATATTTTCTTTATGAAATTGTCTTAAATTATTCAACTGGAAAGTATCACTTGATTTATTCTAGAATGCTGGCCAGTCTGTTTCTGGAGAGTAGGGACCTGAGCCTTGCCTCCAGAATTAGAGTCCCAAGTAAAAAGAAGTAGAGACCATCTCAAAGAACGTACCATGCACCAAAGCAGCTCAGTCATATTATGTAGTGATAGGATGAGAAGGACCAGGAAGATAGGAAACAGTGGTATAATGCAAAGGTTAGAGTATAGAATCTGAACCAGACAGCCTGAGTTGGAATCCCAGCTCTGCCTCTTACCAGCTGAGGCAGATGTTTTACCTCTGTGCCTCACTTCCCTCATCTATTAAGTGGAATAATGATAGTACTTGTCTCATAAGATTACAGTCAAGATTAAATGAAATATACACATAAAACACAGCAGTTCTTGGGACTTTGTAATTAATTCATAACTCTAACCACCATAATAATTACTATGAAAGACCTAGGATCAGACAGGTTTCTGGTTTCTTCAGAGAATTTCTGTGTGGACAAATAAAATCAAGGGCATTTGCCCTTGTGATGAAGAGTGTGACTCCATAATTTAATATTCAACTGCTCACAGCTTTTAAGCTTCATCTCTCTCTCCTCCCCTTCTGCCCCACATCTGGACGAGCTGATAAGAAAGCCTCATGCTTTCAATTTTGGTACCAGCCAAACCACAATCGCCTGCCCTGTAGGAACTCTTGTCCCCTGCCCCACTCCTTAGCTATCATAAAAACCAAGGCCAGTCTCCTTTCTTTGCTCTTTCATTTCAGACTTTCTTGAGAGGCCTGCCCTGTTGTCCCCAGATACTTCAATTATGTGATTAATAAACATTTTTATACTCTTTTGATGTATGTGTGTGGCATCATCAGTATTGACATCCAAACTGCATGCGTTTGGGTGGGTTATGTCATCTGCTTCTGCAGGTGACACAACAGCCTTCCACTTGAAATGCCTTGTCACTAAAACTGCCTCTCTATCTCTCTACTTCAGACCCATCCTGGGACAAAACAAGGACACCTTGGGCTAACTTGGACTTATTCTCCTCTCTGTGGTAGATGGGCATCTCAAAAGTAGAAAATAAGTTGAATTACAGAAAATAAAGTTCCATTTCTTTCCTGTGTTGAATTATAGACTGACATTCATACCTACTCCATCAGATTACCTGATGATTCGGTCATATGCATGATCCATGTGAACAGCCTCCTACTAGTATGGCTTAGTCCAGGAGGCTCCCAAACCTTTGTGGATAGACATTAAAATTACTGAAGGAACTTTAAAAATATTAGAGATGCTGGGAGACTATAAAGTGACAGATTGCTAGCCAGGGACAGACAGATATGGAAAGGGGTAAATTAGGAACGTGTATGTTTAAAAGAAGTACCTCAGTTAATTCTAACAATTAGTCGGGTGTAGAACATATTGACCAGATTAATTTTGTAACACTGGATTATTTTAATGCCTAGCATATCTTGAATCAGGAACATTTGACACCAAGTATATACATTCTTTAATAGCCAAATGCTGAAATTTATTAGAATTAGGTCCCCAACTTTCCAGTTTTTTTTTTTTTTTTTTTTTAGTTCTCTGATATGAGCGAGAATATGTGATGTTTATCTTTCTCTGGCTGACTTCCCAAGAATATTCTGATCCCATCATTTGCATTTTGCCCTGTTATCCACATGGGCAGTTAGTACTAAACACACAAATTGATTGGAAATATGTTGAAGAATTAGGTCATCAATACAGAGAAATTTCAGACAGCAGAATAATAGTGACACAGCTGGGGGAAACCATGCAGTTTTCTTATGAATTAGCTAAATAGGAAAAAAAATCAATAATTAGTCCTTTATCCAATTCATACCGAATATTATTGGTAGAAATGATCAGCACAAAAGACAATGACAACAGTTAAAAGAACACATGGTAACATATGTTTGAGATGAAAACCTGACTGAAGAATTATGCTGATGCTCGTCTTGAAACATGCAAGTATTGAAAAGGAAAAAATTAAACTTGGCAGAAGTAATCAATACTAAATAAAACTGTGAACAGCTAAATTGGAACATGTTAAAATTTATGATTGCCTTCAAATTGACCGAAAAATCCAATCTTTTTTACTAAGTTTAATATGAATAATTTGACTCAAGACAATTGAATTTGGTACAAATAATGACCATAACAGAAAATTTGTAATTGCAGAAACTATAATCAGTAAGAATTTAATATGAACACTACCAAAAAAATCCCCACATTGAAAAACATTTTTATTTAAACCTTATGTGGAAAATAATTGATTCCAATGAAAAGAATTTCAGTAAATTAAAAGTCAAAATGGAAAAAAAATTAGAAATGTTTTAGTGCCTTGGGATACAAAAACTTTATCAAGAAATTAAAGTAGCTTAATAGAAATTAGAACTAAAAGTACTTTTTAAATGAGTATTTATCCATCTAAGTATAATTCTGATGCAATGCTTTCTACTCTTAAACCCAGGGGTCAAAAGATTCTCAGGTCAGAACATCCACAGAGCCAAAATGGTTGGGTCAAAACAAATGGCTCAACACTTCTGCACCCAAGTATCTATCGTGGAGTATCAAGAAAAGGATGATCAGGAAAAATCTGGAATATGAAGTAAAACCAGCAGATTAGGGCAGGCGTATCTGGAAGAAAGAGTATAAAAGACAAACCATCCTTTAAACTTTTTCATGCCACTCCTTGTCTAGATTCTTACTGGGGGAACTGAACCATAATTTCTAGGCCTGGAATTTGCTAGAAACAGTCATCTTTCAAAATGCAAATTTTGCCAAAATGAAAAAGACAGATAATAATAAATATTGGAGAGGGTGTGGAGAAATTAACACTCTCATACACTGTTGGTGGGATTGTAAACTGGCACAGCCACTTTTTCACAAATGTTCCTAGTGGCATTATTCCTAATAGCCAAAAATTGGTAAACAAAGTGTAGAATATTATTAGGCAATAAAAATAAATGAAGTACTGATACACGCTAAAGAATGAATGAACTTTGAGAGCATTATGCTAAGTGAAAGAAGCCAGCCACAAGAGGCCACAAGTCATAAGATCTCATTTATATTTAATGCCCAGGACAGGCAAATCTATAGAGACAGAAAGTAGACGAGTGATTGCTTAGGGCTACAAGGAGGTAGAGAGGAAATAGGTAGTAAAATGAGTACAAGGTTTCTCTTGGGGACAATAAAAATTTTCTAAAATTGATCATGGCGATGGTTGCACTCTGTGAATATACTAAAAACCATGGAATTGTACACTTTAATTCAGCGAATTGTATGGTATGTGAATTATATGGCAATAAAGGCTGTATTAAAAATACAAATCTCCACAAAGAAAGTAATGTTCTAAGGTCTTTGGAAGTCAGTTTGCCTGTTTGAGTGTCAATCTCTTCTTTTGTGTAATGTTGCTATAATGGGTGATAATAATACCTTCTAAGGGTGATCTAATAATAAATGAAGTGATGAATGTGAGAATGCTTGTACAGCATATGGCAGGCATGAGAGAGAAAGCTCACTGTCCAGCAAGTTCTATGCTTTTCCTTCCGTGGTAGAGAACCGTCACAGGAAAACAGAAACCTAGGCAGGAACTACATTTTCCTTGGCTCTTTGCATCCAGTTGTGCTGTGATCTAGTTCTGACCAATGGCATGTGAGAAAAAGTGATGTGTGTGGTCAAGGTGATTGAACATATGTTATATTTGTCCCACCTTCCCTTTTCCCTCACACCTGGATGCTGAGTAATTGATAGCAAGGGTGGAACCATAAGATGGAGGATGTCTGGGTCCTTAAATCCCCGTGTAGAAAAACCCATTTGCCAACTGGGTACATCACAGGGGATTGGTAGTCTCAGCAAGAAATAAACTTCTATATAGTTGGAGTACTTTTGTTATAGCAGCTAGTGTTACCTTCACTAGTGCAAAAATTTTAGTAGGCACTTCATACATTTTTGACCAAAAATATACATCTTTGTCAATTGTTAGCGCCTTTGGAATTTTAAAATGAAAGCCAGTAGAGACTGATAAGAGGGCAAATATGGAAATCTAAAAGATTGAGAACATGAATGGATGGGGGAAGGCTGTTGCTGACTCCATCCAACTTTAAATCCTTCCGTTTATTGTACCATTCACTGCTCGACCTTATTTTAGACCTCTGTTGCACTTCATTCAATGCCAAGGTCTTGGAGCAAACACCACAATAATTCTGAGTCCTCCGCACTATTTACCAACCCTAATATCTACAGTGAGCCTACATTCTTGAGGAGAGAGACAAACAATAAATAAAGCAAATAAATAAGACATATGAAATATTAGACGGTAAGTAGCCCATTTGAAACAATGGCTAACCTGATTTTTCAGGCAAATGATATCTAATCTAATGGACTAAAGAAGTAAATAGGGCCATGTGTGTTGGCTTACGCCTGTAATACCAGCATTTTGCGAGACCAAGGCATGCGGATCATCTGAGCTCAGGAGTTCGAGACCAGCCTGGGCAACGTGGTGAAACCTTGTCTCTACAAAAAAAATACAAAAATTTGCCGGATGCAGTTGCTTGCACCTGTAGTCCCAGCCACTTGAAAGGCTGAGGCAGGAGAATCACTTGAGCCTGGGAGATGGAGGTTGCAGTGAGCCGAGATATCGTGCCACTGCACTCCAGCCTGGGCGACAGAGCAAGACTCGGTCTCAAAAATAGAAAAAAAGAAAAGAAAAGAAAAAAAAGAAGTAAATAAAGCAAGGAAGGCAATATGGGAGCTCTGGAGTGATGTTCAGTTTTAAATAAGATAGTCAGGGAATGTGTCACAAAGAAAGAACAAAGATTCCAATATAGCAAGGGAGCAAGCCATTACTCCCAGAGAGAGGAATAGCTGTACAAAGGCCTTGAGATGGGAGCATTCTAGGTGTGTTCAAGAAACAGCGATGGGGTCAGGAGGTGGAACAGCAAGGAGGCAGGTTGGGCATGGCGATGAATGACAGGAAAGAGGTCTGAGAGGTAAGATAGTAGGGTTAGATTGTATAGAGGCCTGGAGACTAGAGAAAGAGCACAGTGGGAGATCTAAGAGTTCAAGATCAGAGAGAACTGGCTGCTGCTATTGACCTCAGCAGTGAATGCCAGCACATCTCCAAAGACAGACAGGTCTAGTTTTACTTTAGCAGATACCGCTTCATGAACTAGACTGTTATCCTAGGCTGGAAGCAGCCAGAGCTCAGATGGTGACTGACATCCCAGATGCCCCCCACCCTTGCCACCATGAAGGTGCATCAGTGCATGTACACCAAGATGACATATTTGGTAGAAGCAAGAGAGAGGAAGGAAGTTTGAAATGCTGAACATTTACCAGACAGGTTATTTAATCTGGAAGAGATTGAGTTTATAAGAATAAGAAAATAAAGACTCTGTATCCTTTGCACATCTTGGTTGTACTGTATTAGCTTTTTAAAATTAATTTTTGTGGGTTCATAGTAGGCACATGAATTTAGGGGGTACATGAGATATTTTGATACAGACATGCAATGGGTGTAATAACATCATGGAAAAAGGGAGTATTCATCCCTTCAAGCATTTATTTTTTGTGTTGGCATATAGAAATGCTACTGATTTTTGTATGATGATTCTGTATGCTGCAACTTTACAGAATTTGCCTATCAGTTCTAATAGTTTTTTGGTGGATTCCTTAGGTTTTGGTAGATTTTTGAGGTTCCTTGGTGGATTCTTTAGATTTTTCCAAATATAAGATCATATCATCTGCAAACAAGAATAATTTGTGGGTTTGATTTGTGTGTATTTTTTTCTTCCTTTCCAATTTGAATGCTCTTTACTTCTGATTTATCTAGCTAAGAGTTCCAGTACCATGCTGAATAATGTGTCTTTGTCTAGTTTTGGCCTCATATAATGAGTTTGGAGGTATTCTGTCCTCCTCTATTTTACGGAATACTTGAGTAGGATTGGTATTAGTTCCTTAAATGTCTGGTGGAATTCAGCAATAAAGCCTTTCAGTCCTACCCTTTCCTTTACGGGGAGACTTTTTATTATGACTTGGTCTCTTTTCTTGTTATTCATCTGTTCAGGTTTTGGATTTCTTCATATTTCAATCTTGGTAGGCTGTATGTGTCTAGGAGTTTACCTATTTCTTCTAGATTTTCCAATTTATTGGCATATAGTTGCTCATAGTATATACTAATGATCCTTTGAATGTGTGTGGTATCAGTTTTAGTGCCTCCTTTTTCATCTCTGATTTTATTTATTTGAATCTTCTCCCATTTTTTTTCTTTGTTAGTCTGGCTAAAACTTTGTCAATTTTGTTTATCTTTTTAAAAAAACCAACTTTTTGTTAGTTGTTCTTTGTATTATTTTTGTTTCATTTCAAATTCATTTATTTTGTCTCTGATATTTATTATTTATTTATTTATTTATTTATTTATTTATTTATTATTTCTCCTCTTCTACTAATTTTGGGTTCAGCTTACTCTTGCTTTTCTAGTTTCTTAGCATACTTTTTAGGTTATTCATTTGAAGTTTCTCTTCTTTATCAGTGTAGACACTTACAGCTATACACTTCCCTCCTAGTACTGCTTTTGCTATATCCCACAGATTTGGTATGTTGTGTTTCCATTATCATTTGCTTCAAGAAATTTTTCTTCTTTTTTGTTTTTGATGGGGTCTCACTCTGTCACTGAGGCTGGAGAGTCGTGGCATGATCATGGCTTGCTGCATCTTTAAATTTCTTGGCTCAAGTGATCCTCCCACCTCAGTCTCCCAAGTAGCTGGGATCACAGGCACATGCCACCATGCCCACCCAATTTTTCCTTTTGTTATTTGTAGAGACAAGGTCTTGTTGTGTTGCCCAGGCTGGTCTCAAACACCTGGGCTCAAGCGATTTTCCCATCTTGGCTTCCCAAAGTGCTGGAATTATAGATGTGAGCCACTACAACAGCCTTCAATTTCCTTCTTAATTTCTTCATTGACCCTTTGGTCATTCAGGAGCATATTGTTTAATTTCCATGTGCTTGTGTAGTTACAAAATTCCTTTTTGTTACTGATTTCTAGTTTTATTTCATTGTGGTCATAGAAGATGCATGATATTATTTCAAGTTTTTGAATGTTTTAAGACTTGTTTTGTAACCTAACATATGGTCTATCCTTGAGAATGATTCACATGCTGAGGAGGAGAATGTGTATTCTGCAGGTTTTGGATAAAATGTTCCATATATCTATTAGATTCATTTGCTCTATAGTACAGATTAAATTTGATGTTTCTTTGTTGATTTTCTGTCTGGGAGATCTGTCCAATGCTGAAAGTGGGATGTTGAAGTTTCCAGGTGTTGTTGTATTTAGGTCTACCTCTCTCTTTAGCTCTAATAATATTTGCTTTATGTATCTGGGTGCTCCAGTATTGGCTGCATATATATTTGCAATCATTATACCCTCTTGCTAAATTTGCCCCTTTATTATTATATAATGACCTTTGTCTCTTCTTGCAGTTTTTGTCTTGAAATCTATTTTGTCTGATATAAATGTAGTTACTCTTGCTGTTTTTTGGTTTCCAGTGAGACGGAATATCTTTTTCTATCCCTTTATTTTCAGTCTATGTATATCTTTATGGACGAAGTGTGTTTCCTTGTAAGCAACAGATTCTAGGGCCTTGTTTTACAACCATTCAGCGACCTTTTGATTGGAAAGTTTAGTCATTTACATTCAATATTATTATGGATAAGTAAAGACTGACTTCTATTTTGTTATTTGTTTTCTGGTTATTTTGTGGTCTTTTCTTCTTCTTTTCCTTCTTTCCTGCCTTCCTTTTAGTGAACGTGATTTTCTCTGGTAGTATAATTTAAGTTTTTGCGTGTGTGTTTTGTGTGTATCTACTGTATGCTTTTTTATTTGAGGTTACCATCTTATAACCCATTGTTTTAAACTGATGACAACATTCATTGGATAAACAAATATGCCAAAAGAAAACTAATAAAAACTCTACACTTTAACTTTGTCCCCCAGCTTTTTAACTTTTTGTGGCTTATCTTTATGACTCACTGTACTGTCTATGTCTTGAAAAGTTGTTGTAGTTGTTATTTTATTGTTTCATCATTTAGCCTTTATATTTAAGATAAGAGTAGTTTACACACCACAATTATGGTGTTATAATATTCTGTGTTTTTCTGTATGCTTACTATTACTAGTGAGTTTTGTACCTTCGGGTGATTCCTTCTTGCTCATTAACATCCTTTTCTTTCAGATTGAAGAACTCCCTTTAGCATGTCTTGTATGATAGATCTGGTGTTGATGAAATCCTCCAGCTTTTGTTTGTCTGGGAAGGTCCTTATTTCTCCTTCTTGCTTGAAGAATAATTTCACTGGATATGGTATTCTAGGATAAAAGTGTTTTTTGTTTTTGTTTTGCCTTCAGCACTTTAAATATGTCATGCCACTCTCTCCTGGGCTGTAAGGCTTCCAGTGAAAAGTTGCTACCAAACTTATTGGAGCTCTAGTATATGTTATCTGTTTCTTTTCTCCTGCTGTTTTAGAATCCTTTCTTTATCCTTGACCTTTGGGAGTTTTATTATTAAATGCCTGAGGTAGTCTTATTTGGGTTAAATGTGCTTGGTGTTCTATAACTTTTTTTGTATTTTAATATTCATATCTTTCCTTAGATTTAGGGAATTCTCTAATGTTATCCCTTTGAATAAACTTTCTACCAATATCTCTTTCTCGACTTCCTTTTTAAGGCCAATAACTCATATTTTCCCTCTTGAAGCTATTTTCTAGATTTTGTACGTGTGCTTCATTCTCTTTTATTCTTTTTTTCTTTGGTCTCCCCTGATTGTGTATTTTCAAATAGCCTGTATTCAAGCTCACTAATTCTTTCTTCTGCTTGATCAGTTCTGCTGTTAAGAGACTCTGATGCATTCTTTAGTATGTCAATTGCATTTTCAACTGTAGAATTTCTGCTTGATCCTTTTTAATTGGTGCAATCTCTTTGTTAAATTTATCTGATAGAATTCTGAATTCCTTCTCTGTATTATCTTGAATTTCTTTGAGTTTGCCCAGAACAACAATTTTGAATTGTCTGTATGAAAGGTCACATATCTATATCTCTGTTTCTCCAGGATCAGCCCCTGGTGCCTTATTTAGTTTGTTTGGTAGGGTCATGTTTTCCTGAATAATCTTAATGCTTGTATATATTTGTCATTGTTTGGACATTGAAGAGTAAGGTATTTATTGTAGTTTTCACCTCCTGGGCTTGTTTGTATCCACCCTTCTTGAGAAGGCTTTCCAGATGTTTGAAAGGACTTAGGCCTCAAGCCCAGTAATGTATGGTTTTTGGAGACACATAGAGGTGCCACTTTGGTGGTCTTGGATAAGATCCATGAGAGGTCTGTGGATTACTAGGCAGAGACTCTTGTTCTTTTCCCTTACTTTCTCCCAAACAAATGGAGTCTTTCCCTCTGTGCTGAGCCACAAACTGCTATCTGGCTATCACCTATGTTCACTGAAGGCCCTACAGGCTTACAATAAGCAAGTGGCAAAGCCAGCCAGGTTTGTGTCCTTCCCTTCAGGGAAGTGAGCTTCCCTAGACTCTTGGTGGGTCCAGAGATGCTGTCTGAGAGCCAGAAATTGGCTCTCAGAAACCTTAGAAATTTGCCTGATGTTCTGTTCTACTGCTGCTAAGCAGACAATAAAACCTCTATACAAAGCCCTCACTCTTCCTTCCCTTTATACAGGCAGAGGAGCATCTCCGTGTGGCTCAGGGAGATTCCCACCACAGCCCATGGGAGGTTCTGCCAGGCCACCACCAATGTTCACTCAAAGGCCGAGGGCTCTTTAATTAGCTTATGGTGAATGCTGCCAGGCCTGGGACTCACTCTTCAGGGCAGTAGGCGCCCCTCTGGCCCACGAAAGATCCAGAAATGCTGTCTAAGAGCTAGGCCCTGACTTGGGGACCCCAAGAGCCTGTTTGTTGCTCTACCTTACAGTGTTTGAGTTGGTATATAAGGTGCAAGACAAAGTCCCTTTTATTTTTTCCTTCTGCTTTTCTCAAACAGAAGGAGACTTTCACCATAGCCACCATAGCAGGGAATGTGCTGGGTCACACCTAAAGTCAGCACATCTCAGAGCCCAGGGCCCATGGCATAATACCTGGGTATTGCTGCCTGTTATTCAGCGGCCACGGGCTCTTTAGTCAGCAGGTGATGAATTCTGCCAGGACTGGGCTCTTCCCTTCATTGCTATGAGCTGTACTGCTTGGGGTTGGGAGAGGGATGGTGCAAGCTCTCCTCATGACAATTGGTGCCTCCCTAGGTCACATGCCATCTTAGTTCACTGACTCTGAGCCCAGTTCAGGACTAGGAATTGCAGTCCTTGTGTCCCAGACTGCCTTTCAAGTTTACCTAGGACCCCAGAGCACTTGGCCTATGGTGGCAAGGCCCATCAAGAAACTCAAGTTTTGACCTCTGGGAGGGGCAATTCCCTTTTGGCTATGGCTGGTCCAAATGCTCCTTCCATGCGTGGGAGCTGGCTGAGCCCAGCATGCTCTCCACTGTGACAGGGCAGCACTGAGTTCATTGTAAAGTACCCCCATCACTTGCCTCTCCCTCCCCCAAGTGCACAGATTCTTTCTCTGCACTACACAGCCACTGCTGTGGGATGGGGGAGGGGTGGTGTAAACAAATGAAGACTTTCTCTCTGATGCTCTTCAATGTTTTTTTCAGTGATATGAAGGTAAAACCAGGCACTGTGATTGCTCATCTATTTTTTGGTTCTTATGACAGTGCTTTTCTGTGTGTTGATAGTTGTTAAAATTTGCTGCTCTTCTGGGGGGACAAACAGTGTAGGCTTCTATTCCACCATCTTGCTCCCCCCACCCCTGCTCTGTCTGTATTAGCTTTTGATCTTTGCTACAACTCTATAAATTAATTTTCTTTCAATGAAATTAAAATTATATTATTCTGGGAATATTTCTATCCAAAATTGTATGAGTTATAGAAATTAAACTGTGAATCTTATTTATTTCATGAAGTATACTTTAGGATGTGTATGGCCTTAAAATCGTACCTGTTGATTTTAAGGAAAAACATCCCAACGTTTGACCTAATTTTCTAGGAAAAATTGTTTTTAAAAGCTTGACATAAAATTTCAGCCTATTAACACTCTATAAGTAAAGTTAATGTTTACCTTATATTAAGTCAAAGGAAAACAAATAATGGTCATAATATACCTTTAAATATAGCTTCAGTGACAAACATATTATGAAATAAAATGCTTCAAAAGGCTGGCCCTTCAGAAGACAAATTTGCAAGGTTTTTGTTCATGAGCAAGAAAAACTGATTTTTCAAATTCTGGGGTTTTTGAGAAAATAAACATTTAAACATTATGCATCGAAATATGTATGCTCAGTTAATTTTTTAGATATTTGTCATTTTCAATTAGGTGAATTTATAGAGAACAATCAGAGATAATTATGAAGCCATATTTTAAGCTGTTATTTAAATTTCCTTTAACAAGTGTTGGTGATTGCTTCTATAAGGAGTCACTTTGAATTTTATTGCTCTGTTCTTGTAATATCTGGTGGAAATGTTACAGGTAGTCAGATTATTAAGAGATCAGCAAGAAGTAAAGCTGGGAACCATTAAAAACTCAGTCCTTAAATAATTGTGAACTAGAATTCCCCAGTGATTGGTAGAATTAGAAAAGTCTATTAAACTTTGCCCACTAATTTTTAGTGAGAATGTGACAAGAAATGGAATCTTTTCAATAGAACTCCAATTTAAGTTATGTGTGGCCATTCATTGCCCATATAGAAGGTAAACTTGTTTTTCAAGCTCTATCTGTTATTTGTTATGATTTATTTAGCTTTGCAACATTCTACAAGGAGACAAGCCTTACTGGGAGCTTTGCTTTATGATTGGATTATAAAGGTGAAAGAGACTCCAGCTCTGTTCGTGACCCTGAAGAGGGAGAAAGTTCTTATCATCTAAAAGGGAGAAAGAGAAGTTAACCCATAATTACACTAGTGATATGAGATCTATGAATTAATCAAGGTAGCTAGCTGCCTTTATTCACGTAGCTTGAGTGCTGTGCAGCCGAATGCAGCATCTTCAACATACATACCAACTCCTATGATGCACAGAAAAGGAAAGATTAAATTCGAGGGAATCAGTGGATATTTGCAAGGAACTGACATTCACATGGAATTCAAAGAATAAAGAGGAAGGAGAAGGGCTGAGACTGAAGTGTACGCAAATGTTGGGCAAAAATATAATTTCGGGGAAGATGAAAGTCTACGAATGAAATAAATTGTAGCTGGCTATGCCTACAATACTATGAACTTAGGATTTTATGAGAAGCAGAGAAGCGTGGGAGAGCTTTAAGAAGAGAAAAACAGAATCAGGCTGGTGTTTTAGATAAATAATTATTCCAGGGAAGATGGATTGAAGGTGAGACCAGAGGTGAAGGACCAGTTAGAAGTGACTTCAGCAGTGACTAAGCCTGACTACCTACTCCATTCCTTCAGACTTTATCTTCCTAGACTTCTCAGCAACATTTGGCATTATTGAGCATTCATTCCCTCTTTGAAAAATTCTTGTGTCATGACTACTGTGATACCACACTTGTTTGTATTTCTTCTTTTTCTCTGGATGCTCCTTTGGGGGCTGACTTCAATGTTGATACCTTGTAGGATCCTGACATGACCTGTTAGTCTTCTTGCTCTACACAATTGCTTTCCTGTTATTTCAGTTAGGTGCCAATGGCTCCCAGCTCCACATCTCTAGTCTAGATTGTTCTCCTAAGCACTAGACCTGTATACACTTGAATGTCTAACTGAAATCTTACGTGTCAAGACATCCAAAATGAATTCACGATTTTGAAAAATGCCTTTAGAAGGCATAGTGCTGGGCTGTTTTTACAGATGGAGTCATTAATTCTGTGCTAGAAATAAAAGGATGATGGCTCTAACTTTACTAGCTTTATTGGTTGCTTTGCTTAACAAATATTCTTAAAGATCTACAATTGGGACAGATCTATGGGAAATATAAAGATGCTTAAAATAAGGTTACTCTCTGCCCAGAACTTATGGTTAAGTATGGAAGGAAAGGAAATTAAGCTATGTTTTATCAGTTTATGGTGTGACTGGGACTTTTGCATGCCATGTAATTTAATCTTTACAATTCTTCGGGTGGGCATTATTGTTGTTGTTCGAGTGAAGACGTGAGACTCAAAGATACTTCCAATATCATGCAGTGAGAAATGGTAGAATACAATTCACCCCAGTCTACTACGTTACTAAAATCCAGGCTTTTTCCTTCACACCACCTGACTTAGAATTTAGGGATCATTCAGTAGGAATACCCAAGGTAGGGACATTACAAACTCTCTCAATATCTAATCCATAGAGTATTTATTTTGCCCCCACCAGACTCTTTTTAATCCCAGTCTTTTCTACCCCACTACCTGGAATCTGGAGCCCACTTCCAACTTTTCTCTGCCATTATGGAAAGTAACCATGAAAGAATTTTTTTTTCAAAATGTTAAAAAAGATTTAACTGACATAAAATTGTATGTATTTATTATGTATAATATAAAGTTTTGAAGTATATATATACATTGCAGAATGGTTTTACTTGATTATTTCAGTGGACTGGATGTTATTTGCTGACTTACTTATTGTGTCAGTAAAGGATTTCCAGAGAAACAGTACCAACAGTTTGTATGTGTAGATATGTGTGTATATTTCCTATACAGAAAGAAATGATCAGAAATTGGCTCACATGATTGGTTAGGAAGGCTGGCAAGTCCCAGGATCTGCAGGATGAGTCAGCAAGCTGGAGACCTGAGAGAGCTGACAAATTAGTTCCAGTCTAAATCTGATGGCCTGAGAACCAGAAGAGCAGATGGCATAGCTCCAATTCAAAGGTGGGTAGGCTTGAGACCCAGGAAGACCTGATGTTTCAGTTGGAGTCCAAAGGCAGGAATAAAAGCCAATGCCCAGTTCACAGGTCATCAGGTAAGAAGATTGCTGTCTTACCTGGGGGAGAGTTAGCCATTTTGTTCTATCCAGGCCTTCAACTGATTAGATTAGTCCCACCAACATTATAGAGGTTAATTTGCTTTATTCAGTCTTCTGATTTAAATTTTGGTCTCACTCAAAAATGCTCTGATGTAAACACCCAAAATAATGTTTGACAAAATATCTGAGTACCCCACGGCCCAGTGAAGTTATCACATAAAATTAAGCTTTACATTTGTAATACAGAAATTATATCTGGAGATTAGTAGGTGGCATGATTCCTGCTGTCAAGGAATCAAAGAAAAGAAAGATGAAAAAAAACTTAGTACTGCATCTTCTCAGTGGGTTACTCAAATATCTGTTGAATATGCCCAGTATATTATGATCCCAGCCCTGGAGAGAAAGGGCACTTTACAGTTTTGGTGATGATGATGATGAAGTGTAAGTCACTTAAATACTCGACAGTTTTATTTATGGAGTGAGATACTTCCTTTAATGCTATTTTATAGGCAACGGGGAAAAGTCTGCAAACATATTTTGGATAACATACAAGTTTGTCAGGGTCTTGAGTTACTCAACACTCAAAATGCAGGCGTACCTTATGTTAACACGGAACATTTACACTTTATGCAAGCAGGGCTTGGGGAAGTTTTAAAATATCTGGAAAACAGACTTTATATTAAGATGTTTATACCAGAATGATGAGTATATCACAGTTTTCCCAGGAAATGGTTTAGTAGACAAGGTTGATTCAGAGGCAGCTCTTGACATAATGGAAGTCTTTAAACCTTGGAGTCTACTGTTGCAGGAATGTGGGGCAGTAAAATCAAGGGTGGACAGCATCTGTGTTCTTACCAACTTGCTTAAAGTTCAAACGCTTCTTCTAGTGTCATACCAGGGAACAAACCCTGGACCTGAGAGGGGAGCTGTGAATAGCTACACTAAACAATTTCACTTTGGCAAAAGTTATCCACCTGGAGCACAAAACTACTAGAACTTTGTCTTGGCCATTCTAGTTGGCAAATTAAGAGTCAGATGCTGTGAAATTAATTTTTGGCAATCAATCTTTCTCCTTCTTCTCTTAATCCGAGTCATAGAATTATATCTTACAGTTGAAAACACATTCAGAGGTTGGCTAGTTTCTCTGCCTCTCATTATTCATAATTCGTGGGTTCATTAGATCTGGTTGGGCCACATATCTCATCATGGGAGTCTCCATTTTAAGATGCTGTGAGTGTAAAACTTCAGGGATGTTTCTAATTGATCCTTTCAGTAGAGGAAGTATTTTCTCAGTCACATATATGCCATTGGTAGAAGTGGTTTCATTCTTTCTTCTGCAATGGCAGTTTTAAAACATAGAGGATTTACTCATTTCATTTACTTCTTCATTTAACAAATATGTGTTAAATGTCTGAACACTGTGTCTGGCAGTGGAAACAAAAGGTGATCAAAAACAAAGAAGGACCCTGTCCTTACGTTACTAACAGTTTAGGATTTTATCAGTAATTTCCATTATAATCTAATTATTATTTAGATCTTTTACGTTTTATAATAACAGCAGAATGAGAAAAATAGCAAAAGAAATGAAATTTAAAATTTCCCTTCTGCTCTCTTATTTTGACTTCCTCCATTTAAAAATATTTCTTTCATGTAATTGTCTTATGCCTACCTTTAAACCATAATGTTAATTATGGTGCACATTTTGCATTCAACTTTTCCTGTCTAAATGATCTTTGCAGACTCTTCTCCATAAGTGTTGTGTCACAAGTATTTCCCCTATTAACATCTTCAAAACGATCACCTTTATAAATACAGATAACTTGCCATATAATTAAATATGCTTTTATTTGGGGACATTTAGTTGTATATAGTTCAGCAATAAATAACATTGGGGTTGGTTTCTTTTTTCTTCTCTTCTACTGTTTCTTTCAGTGACTAAAGAATTGGAATTCTATATATGAGAGTAATGAGATGTTTTTCTTCTGTATTAAGCAAGGTGAGAGATGGACTGATATTTTGGGGTCACTCAAATTTATCCTATCCAATCTATTCTAGATTTATCCTAGAATTCCAGTTGGCTAGAAGAACTAGTATGAAGCCCAAAAGGAAACCAAACACATTTTGTAATGCGTGATGCAAACATGTTTTTCTCTTCTTTTTATTAAAAGTAAAAAAAAAGAGGGATGTATGTGTGTATATATATATATATATAGTCATAGGATTACATATACATGAAAAGAGACATTGAAACCACTGACAGTATTTCAAAATATATTTTTTCAAGTTTAAGTTATACTTATCACATATTTATGCTGGCTTGCTGGAATTCTGAAATGTGAGTTCATCATTAAAATGGCTATAATTTCTTATAATACAGAAATAATTATTTTTGGCCAATCTTGTGATCATTCCCATGTGTGTTAATATCCCTTCCCTTGTCTTCCTTTGTGTAAAAATAGGTATGGACTTACTGGAAGAAAAGTCTGTGCCTTTTTACCTCTCTTGGGTTGCTTCTTCAAAGGGTTGTGGATGGGGATGTCGGGGTGGATATTCCTGTTGAGAGTCCTCATGTAGCTATCACAGGAATCTCTAATGGAGGACAGGCAGGATCTAATGAACAGCAGGATGCAATAAAGCTGTTAAGTCGAGCCCTGCATGGTTCTGGAT
This sequence comes from Homo sapiens, assembly GCF_000001405.40. Classification (NCBI taxonomy): domain Eukaryota; kingdom Metazoa; phylum Chordata; class Mammalia; order Primates; family Hominidae; genus Homo; species Homo sapiens. Next base: position 71,220,485 of record NC_000012.12, on the reverse strand, counting down.
TTCAATTATTCTGTGTGGCTGATGAGATTCTGAATTACCAACAGCTGCTCATTTGCTCACTTTCTTGTCTGCCACCGCTGCCAGCAGCTGTTCTTTCTTACCCCATATCCAGATGCAAACAGCTGTTCTCTCTTTCTTTACAATTGTTAGCAGTGGCTCATTTTTGCCCCAAACACATGGACACCTGCAGCAATAGGAATTGTATTTTTCAGTTGTGAGGAAATGTTGGACAGCTTCATGAAGGTTGAATGGAGTAAGGGAAAGAAGGAATGAGAAGTGATTAGATACAGAAGGAGCCTGTGTTGGTAAGCCAGAAGGTGGATAAGATAATTCTAGTTATTCTTCAGTGGCTGCATATGTCTGTGACAATGGATACTTGTAGTTCTTCCTTACCTTCCTTCCTTTCCATTCACCTTGGAAAGCAAGGAGCCATCACTAACAAACAAATCCCAGGAAACTGAGCACTTAGGAAAAAATTATGATGGTGCTCTAATGACTTGGTTTTTATTCATTTATTTAAGAAATATTTGTGGCTACTAGTACATGTCAGGTACTGTTATAGAGACACAATAGGTGCTAAATAAATGAGTATGTTTTTATGAATATGTTCACACATAAATACAACTTATCAGTTCTGACTCTGTTTATGATATGAAAAACCAACATTTTAAATGAATTTTGTTTGTTTAATTCAGCCCTTTTCCTCCCTGCCATTAGGATTGGGGACCTTTGGATTATGTCGTTGATCAAGAAATATTCCTGGTTCTCATGTCTCTCTCTTTTTGCAGGGACTAGGGTGAGAAAAATGTAAAGAAGGGGGAATAGAACTTAAATTTATTGAGCACTTATCCTATCTCCAGTACTGTGCATTGTTCTTTACGTAGGTTTTCTCATTTCATTTTCATCAGAATGTTAGGAAATCGGCATATTTTCATCTAGCTGATAAGGACACTGAAGTTGGAAGTGTGAAGCTGCTTACCTAAGGCCATGTGGTCAGGGAATGATCCAGGATGGGACACAGACTCTCTCGCCCCAAAGCACAAGTTCTTTCACTCTATCCAGCTTCCACATGCTTTTCCTTCCTCTATTCAGGCTGCAGAGATAACAGTGATAATTGGGTTTAATACCTTAATTGTGGAAGCAGATATATAATTGATCTAAAGGCTTAATCTTCAATTGGAAATTGGTCCAAATGTTACTTCATCATTTTAAGCTGTGGGACAGTCATAAAAGATGAAATAAAAGGAGAGATGTTAGGGCTCATAGCTCAGGTTGCTATCACAAATAAAATCTCTACACCCTCGGGCTCTTCTCTGTTAAGAGGGTTTCTAAAGAGTATTTGGCCAAAGTATGGGAGGACTTAATATTCCCATTTCACACCCTAACTTAATCCATTAGTATCCAAACAATGTTAGCGGTTATACTTTGGGATATTGAGTGGGAGAGAACTGGCTGAGGCTCTAAGGAAACTTTCTATGGTTTAGGGAGCCATTAGGAAAAAGCTTCTTATTCTTGTAAAAATTTCTCAAACTTTCAGGGCTGGGTTCCTGTGGCTGGCTGATAGTCAGCCTCAGTTAGATTCTTGCCAAATTGAGCATCAACAGCTCATTTGGCTTGGAAGAAAAAGAAATGAGAAACAACTGACATTTGTATACTTGAAATTATGAGCTGTTTCTCTAACAAAGAGACCAAACACTTTGGGCTTGTTTTCCAGTAAACATACACACTGAACAATCTGGCCGGCTAGCAGCTGGCTGTGCATATGTAGGGCATATGTGAACACATATGGATGCATAAAACTCACATATGTTCACTTAAAAGGACACTGTCAAGTCATTTTATGGCTTTTTTTTTTTTGTTCTCTGGGCTCTATTGTTTATAAAATCTTCTTAGAAGCTTAAAAATACAATTTCTTTCCCTACTGATTTTTTGTTCTTTCTTTCTTTTTTAAAGCAAGTATTTGGAATGGCAATCAAATAAATGGAACTGGTTCTATTTAATACCTAATCCTACTTAAGCATACACAGCAAAGTACATTGTCCGATCAGAAGTAAAACACTATGAAAGAGACAATTCCTTATGAAGAGAAAAATAGGCACATTCTGTCTTCAGAGGAGACATTTCAAATTAAATAGTACTTACAAGATTATTTTCTGGCATTCCAATGCTTTTAGTGTGTGTTAGATATTTCATATGGATATTAGTGACTATAATAAATCATATTTTCTACTTTCTAAAATATATTTTAGCAATATTCTTCTAGCTTCTTTATTAAGTAGAGGTCTTTTAAAAAAATCTCTGCTTTGGGCAAATGCTGTGAAGAATCAAATCAAAATAGCCCAACAACCTGAAAAGATGCTAAAAAAAAATCACAAACAGTCAGAAAAACAAAAAGTAAATAATAATAAGTTATCATTTTACACCCATCAAGCTGAGAAAAAGTAAAAAGCAAAACTGTACATAGCAAGTGAAGATGTGAGGGAAGGAGTACTTTCATACGTTGCTGGGGAAATGGGAATTTTAAGCAGCTTTTTGAAAGTAAATTTGGCAACATTTCATAAATTAAAAAAATATATACTTATGTCCGTACCAGTGCATAAGGATATAGACAACAGCAGCATTATTTAATGTGGCAAAAGTAAAACCAAGTGAATGCCCTTCAATAGGGACTGTTGGTGAATAAATTAAGGCATATTTATACCATAGAATATAATATAGCCACTCAAAAGAGCAAAATGGAGCAATACCAGTTGACTTTGAAGAATTACCACCTGGTATTGTTGAGATAGAAAAGTAACATGTATAGAAGAACATGTGAGTCTACATTATGAATCAATGACCAAAACAACTTTTGTATGTATTCATTTGTCTCTCTATAGTCTATCTATCCATTTGTATAAGGTTATATGATGGAAAAAATATGAACAGATACATACCAGGTTGTTAAGGTGGGTTTTCTGGAAGGGGTTGGGGGAATTGTGGTGATGGTAGGTGAGGAAGCTAAACAAAAAGGGAAGAATCTAATATAGGCAAAATCCAGTAAGAAATGGTCATATTTATGCAAAATTCTGTGTGTGTACATTCAAAGGAATACTTGAAATAATAAGAGATCATTAAAATAAAGACATTCTCATCTTCTACCAGAATCTCCATGGATAACAATAAAGGAGGATGTGACAGTTCCGACAAACTCAAATAATCCTGGAAAAAACTGAACTTGAGGGTTGGCTGAAGGTTTATATGAATTTCCCATGGAAGAACAAGATAAGCAGGTTGCATTCAATCATTTCAGGGTACTGGTGCCACCAAGTGGTGTCTGGAGCAATTGTTGGTGGCATTTTATTACCCCACTAGTGACAGAACCTCTTGGCTTACCTATGCCTTCCATGGTAGTAAACAGAATGGGGATGTTTACTACCCCCCGTGGAGTTCTCCGTGGAGTGAAGCACACACCTGTGATCCTGGCACTCAGATGAACAGGAAGTATGAAAAAAATGAGTATGAAGCAAACAGCTTTGGCCCTGGAATCTGATCTCACCTTGGTTTCTCCTGCTGGCAATTGCTCTACCATGCCTGACCTTTACCTATCAAGTCCCTTGAGATGTGTTCAAAAGTTTATAACTACTTGGACCAGTGTCACAACTTGTATATCTTCTTTAACTGCTTTAACTGTGATTTTAGATAATGTCTCATATAGGTTTTCTCTTTTTATTGCTGCCATCGTGGCTTGGCCTTTCCTTATGTCTTCACTGGTGTCATAAAAATGTTCATGGGCTTTCCTAGCCTCAGTCTCTCTCTGCTCCAATCGAGCCATAACCCACTTCTATGCTAAGCTTCCTGAAGTTCTGGTCATTTAACAACACTACTGAAAAGCCTTCAGCTGTTTCTCTGTAACTACTAGCAGAGTGTGACCTCAGAACTCAGCACAGACTTTTAACAGGGTGACTCTAATGTCTCAATTTGCCCAGTATAGCCCCAGTTTCCTTCTATTGTCCCACTGTAATCATTATGGCTTTCTTCATTTTCAACATTGTCCTAGTTTAGATATTACATTTTATGGATACCTGAGCTTTTATCTACTTAGTTCTCCTTCCTCTAATATATTAGAGATATGCAGGCATTATGTGATTTGGTGGGCACCTGGTGTTGATGAGTCCACAGCTCCAGGCCTCTACAGGTCAACTAGTTGTATGCATATATAAGTAGGCTAACAGAAGAAAGTGTAAAGTTTGTGGTGGATAGAGAAATTGGACTCAGAGAGGGCTCATATCTGAATTAGAACATCTCTGTGTGTGTGTGTGTGTGTGTGTGTGTGTGTGTGTGCTTTGAACATTCACAAACTAAATATAAATTATTTGGGATTTATCACCCTATTTAAAATTTATTTTCTTCTGTAATTTATATAAAGGCAGTTTTTGAATTTTAGTAAGAAAATCTGCCTTTACATTTTTAACTAATTTATTTTTAATTTGTATGGACACATTATAGTTGTACATGTTTTGAAACATATGTGACACTTTGATGCAAGCATACAATGTATAATCATCAAATATGGGTAGTCGGGATACCCATCACCTCAAACACTTATCATTACTTTGTGTTGGGAACATTCCAATTCTACTCTTCTAGTTATTTTGAAATATACAATGAACTATTGTCAGCTAAAGTCGCCCTAAGTGTTTGTGCTACCAAATACTAGATCATATTCCTTCTTTCTAACTGTATTTTTGTACCCATTAAGCAACCTCTCTTTATCCCTTCCTCTCCACTATTCTTCCCAGCCTATTTTTTGGCTCCCACATATGAGTAAGAACATATGCCATTTGCCTTTGTGTCTTTGGCTTATTTCACTTAACATAATGTCTTCCAGTTCCATTAATGTTGTTGCAAATGACTGTATTTCATTCTTTTTATGGTGAAATAATATTCCATTGTGTATATATACCACATTTTCTTTATCTGTTTATCTGTTAATGAGCACTTAGGCTGATTCCATATCTTGGCTATTGTGAATAGTGCTACAACTTTTGTATTTTTTATGTAGCTCTTTTAGTGGATAAGAAGAGCACTATTTGGGACCTAATGAATATCACACTCATAATTCATTACCAAATGAGAAAAATATTCAACTAAGTAATAATACAGTCATGCTAAAAATTTTGAGGAGTTTAGAAACATACTGTGTACTTTTTTGGCACAAAAGGTCATATGCCTTATTTATCCAACGATTAGTGCATTGCTTGGTGCATAAATACAGTTGAGTAGAATTTGAAGCAGACTGCAAGTTTATAGAACTGAAATTTGGTTACTGCATTCTGGTTTAAGTATTTCCTATGTCTGCTACATTGTGGTGTTAACAATCTGTTAATGGTTGAATGCATACTATTTAGGGAATGCTTTGTCCTTAGCTCACCATCAGTAGGAATGCACTGTGAGTTTTTCCTAGAGTTGAAAAGAATTCGAGCTCAGCCACCCGTTTTCTCTTATTCAGTTCTTTTTTTTAACCACTTAAATATATTTTCAAGACAGCCAGAGTCTGTGTTCTTGAAAAAGATTTTGTGTAAGAACTAGTTGACCTGTAGAAGCCTGGAGCTGTGGCCTCATTAACACCAGGTGCTCACCAAATCATTTAATGCCTGCATATCTCAGATTATCTTGTGCGGCTCTTTTGCCTTCTTTTCTGGCCTAAAGTTGAGTCAATCTAAAGTATAGAAAGTTGGAATTCAACCTAAGCTACTGTTTAACTAGCTGAGTGTCATTCACCGACAGTTATCCGTTTGTTTCCTGTGTGTTCCTCCAGGTGCTAGGACTTCCTGGAGAAGGGTGTCCACACACAGGCCAGCTTATGCTTGTCATGTTAACCCTCACTGAGTAAACTGCTCTCTTTACCTTCTTTTCTTCAACTGATTTTATGAAACTTTTTCCTGATCACACTGTCTTCAGGAGGAGAATCAGGCTTTGGACATAATGGCACATGCCCTGATATTCAGTACTCTGCGATCCATTGGCTTTCTTTTATATACTTTTTCTTTTTCTCCAAATGTGTATTTAATGGAACTGCAAACTGAAATACAAGGGCTATATATGTATGCTTCATTTTCTGTAAAGATGCCCCATATTTTGAATTCTTTCAGGTAAAGGACTGTATATATATTGTATAGACTCTGAGTCTGCCTGGATTTAAATCCCAGCACTGTGTCTTAGCAGCTTTTTGACCTTGGACAAATGATGGAACCTCTCTGTGCCTTACATTACTTATCTGCATTGTGGGGCCAATAATCTATCTTCTGGGTTTAATTTTATTTATTAAGAGCTTTACTGAAATATAATTCACATGGTATAAAATTCACCCATTTAGAGTGTTCAACTCAGTGTTTTCTCGTGTATTTACAGATTTGTGCAACCAACCCCACAATCTAATTTTAGAACATTTTCATCATCCCCCAAAGAAACCTTGAACCCATCAGCAGTCACTCTCCATCCCTGCTCACAGTTTTTTATGAGGATTAAATGAATTGACACATGAAAAGCACTCAGAATATTGTCTGGCACCTTGTAAGTGTTCTCTATTATTATTGTTGATATTATTATTATCAATACCATTACTATTATCTTTGTACCCTCAGCCAACATAGCATCTGATGCTCACTAGGTCCTTGCTGAATAAATGAGGAAATGAAAGATGAAACATTACATCTTCAGCATTTGAAGTAATAGTGAGAGAAATGCCCAACATTATGAATACTGTAGACATGATCCAAGTCACAATAGGATCTGTTAGCAGTATTTTACTGAAGAAAGGTACATTAACACAGGCTTTTATCACAATGGCTCAGCATGATGGTGTCATATAATAACCAAAGAAAGTTAGTCCTAAATCTTGAATGCCAGTAGGTAAACTTGTGACCAAGGGAAAGCTACAGATGTTGCTTCTCTGCATAGTTACCTACAAAATGAAATTGTATTCAACGAATCACTTCTAACTTCATTCCTCTTTCTAACATCCAGATTGCTCACCAATAAATGTCATGAGAATTGTATATCATATTTGTATATTGCATTCATTTATGATTTTATTTGTTGACAGTTCCCAGAGTGTATCATGTTCCCAAAGAGAACAGAAGTGTGGATTATCTCCATTCTTTATTTTTCCAATGACTTTCCTCTGCCTATAAGATGAAGACCAAACTCCTTGGCCAAGCATCCAACACTCTTCTGGGTCTCTTTGCTTGTGGGGTATCTATCCTCAGTTATCTTGGAAGCCAAACAACAGATGTTACATTGGGGGAACATCAGCAGGTTTGGGGGACTGTTTTTTAAGATGTTCTTCCCTGCCCTGACAAAGTTAGGGCAAAATTCAATTCCAAATTGAATTTTGGAAATTTCAATTTTGAATAAAGAGAAGGAATGATTGAACATACTTGAAGGTGATTTACTTCAGGCATATATTGTAGGTTCTTTTGCTGACATATTGTAGATTCAGGCACTCTAAGGGGTTTGTCCATTTATTCCTACAGTAGCCCATCCTTATTTGTGGTTTCATTTTCTGTGGTTTCAGTTTCTTATGGTCAGTCATGGTCTGAAAATATTCAGTGGAAAATTACAAATGTAAACAATTAATAAGTTTTAACTTGTGTGTAGTTCTCAGTAGAGTGATGAAACCTTGTGTCCTTCTGCTGAAACCCCTCAGATGTGAATCATTCCTTCATCCAGTGATTCCATGATGTAGATGCTGTCTGCCTAATGGTCATAAACGTTGTCTGCTACTAATGTCCAACCATTAACATCATCATGGCTCAATGAACCAGGGTCATTAGAAGCAAATAAACCTTCCTCTCAGGTTGCTTCAGAAGGTAGTAGTAGCCTAATGCTGCAGCACAATACCTATATTATTCAGTTTACTTCATTATCACAAGAAGGGTGAATACAGTACAAAAAGGTATTTTGAGAGAGAGACCACATTCATGTAAGTTTTATTATAGCATATTATTATTAATATAATTGTTGTACTTTATTAATAGCTGTTAACCTTTTACTGTGTGTAATGTATAAATTGAACTTTATACATATGTAAAGTTTATATATATGAAACATATATGTAAAAAATATAAACATATACTTTAATTTCAATGGTTTTTGGGATACTGGTGGTTTTTGGTTATATGGATGAACTGGGATACTGGTGGTTTTGGTTACATGGATGAATTGTATAAAGGTGAAGTCTGAGTTTTAGTGTATGTATCACCTGAGTAGTGTACATTGCACACAATATGTAGTTTTTTTTATCCCTCACTCCCCTATCTTTCTCCCCCATCCTGAGTCTCCAAATTCCATCATACCACTTATGTCTTTGTGTACCCATAGCTTAGCTCCCACTTATAAGTGAGAACGTATGGAATTTGGCTTAATTTGAGTTTAATAAGATCCTATATATTTATTTTTGTTTTTGTTGCATTTACTTTTGGGGCCTTAGTCAAATTTTTTGCCTAGGCCTGAGTAAAAAAAAAACAAAAAACAAACAAAAAAAAACTTCAGCCAAATTAAATTTAAAGGAGTTTAATTGGGCAATGAATGATTCACAAATTAGGCAGCCCCAAGAATCACAGCAGATTCACAGAGACTCCCGTGCCACTATGTGGTGGAAGATTTATAGACAAAAAAAAGGGAAATGACGTACAGAAATTAGAAGCGAGGTGCAGAATGGCTGGATTGGTTACAGCTTGGTGTTTGCCTTATTTCAACACAGTTTAAACACTCAGCAGTGTATGAATGGTTGAGGTATGGCTGCTAGGATGGGCCAAGACTCAGCTATTGTTACAGGCACATACTCCTAAGTTACGTTTTCAATCTTATCTACCTATTAAGCTAGGTTGCGGTTCATCCACAAGGACTCAAATATAGAAGTACAGAGCCCTTCTCAGGCCATATTTAGTTCTCTTTAACAATTCCCCTTTTTTGGTCATTTTCTCGGTTTTGAGAGATTCACAAAAACTTCAGTTATTGATGTCACTATCACCATTGTAAATGTACTTATTTGGTCTTGAAACCCACTGGGAAATAGTAGAACAGTGAGTTTTGCAAAAGGTAAGAACAAGGGCTGAGTAGAGGGTAACTTTTTTGCTGAAACGTTCTATTTACAGAAGAAAAACAAAACCAAGTCTGTTCTAGGATCTACATGTTTCCTTAAAGTCTTAGTTTGATTATGTCACGTTTAGCATGAGTAACTCTATTTTAGTTCAGTTTGGCCTGTTGGGTCCTAGTGCATGAGCTTAGTCCAAAACAATGGCCTCCTATAATTTTGTTTTAAAAGTTCACCTTTTTTGGTTGGGTTCTTACTTAGGTGAGAGTGTGACCAAAATTTAGGGCCTTAGCACCACTCTCTGTTGCCATTATTTTGGGTTTCCAGTCTCAGCACATCATTCATAGGTTATGGTGCCCTTATGGGCACATATTCCTTTCAGCTCTTATCATTCCAGTTGAAGAGAGACCATTTGACATTCTACTGATGGCTGCATGCAAACATTTAAAATCTTTAAGAGAATATAGCACATCAGGGAGACTATTATTAGACTATTGGGAAGATAATAATACCAAGAGTTTGGGGTATGCTCCTTAGCCAGGGTCCCCATAAAGCAAACCACCTAAAATTAAATAGATTAAAGAAGGAGCTGGATGAAGAGTCTACTTGCTTGACTAAGTGGTCTTTTCATTAATCCCCTACAACTGAATTTTTATAATCTACATTTGATGTTATTTCTCCATAAGCCACAAGTGCCAACAACTGCACAAGTATTTTTCTTTTTAGCCAACTCTATTATTAGCATAACTTTCACAAGATAAAGTCTGTTGTGTAATGATAGCCTTTATAGTAGAATCTGCTATAGAGCCTCTTATGAGGGATGCATTTCTAATTATTGCCTCTTTTATTTTAAACCATGGAAAAAGGACCTAATAAATGGTGTCCTTCTAGAAGAATAAAGGGCTTCTTGCAATGTTCTCTTTAACCCATGATGTGGGTTAAGAGGAGTTTTGACTGATTATGAGGCAATGTATGTACCACTAAAGTTTCTCACCTACATGGGGCCTTCATCTTTTATCTATCAAAGTATAAGGTTATTCATGTATAAGGCTGGGTGCAAAATCCTTCACAAATAAAAATATACCCTCTAAGTGCACATAATAGACCTCCTTTCCATTTCTATTATTCATAGAAGCATAAACAAGTAAAAAATATTCAAAGATAAGAGTCTCATGATAGTAGAAGTCTTGATTCGTGATCTTGGGAAAAGCTGTTCACATCAAGTATTCCATCTTCCTCTGGGGAGAAACTTTCTTGGTTCATTTTACCTTAAGGGTTCCAATGGGTGTACAATTCCAAGAGTATGGAGGGACCCTTCTCAGTTGTTTGGTTATGAATCCAACGTACAAGGTTCCAAAGTTTTGTTGCAGTGTGGATGGCAAGGAGAGTCTTTCTCTGATGGTCACAGAATATTCAATCTTCAGGTTCTAGATTGTGAAGGAATTGATTGTCCTCAGTGAACCATAAAAAGCTTTATTTACCTGGTGAAAATATACTGTGACATAATAATTAACTTTTATAACAAAAAACATGATTGAAAATGACAATTGAACAAAATATCTTTATAAATGTTTAAATGACCCATCAGGCAGCCAAATATACCTGAAGGTTTGATTGTCTTCCCAGGAATATAGAACCAAACATTGGTTTTAAACTACTTTCACAATTTGTAAGTCACCATATCAATATATTCAATTTAAATCATTTTATTTTTCTCCATGATGAATTGTGGAATGCAGAACCTTTAATAACACAAGTTTTAAGGACTCAGGAAGGACAAGGAGGGTGCCCTGGTTCTCCATGAGTCCATACTTAACACTGGACTTATGTCCTCTTGAATACTTGTTGTTTCTCCAATTTAGGTGCATAGCATTGATAACTAGTGGGTCATTATAGGTAAGTTGACTTAGAACATGGAGTTCAAATTGTATATGTAAACAATTTCAGTATTGCCTGGTTTAACGTGAAAATCTGGCAAAGTGTTTTCTTGACATTTAGTTAATTTTTTTGTTCTACTTGGGTTAGCAGTTTTATACAAGGAAATTTGGTTATTTCTGTGGTGCACAATAACTTAACATAATAACCATGATTATGACTGATAGCATATACTCAGGCATATTAGGATTTTAGAAATCCCATACAATTTTGGAACACATATTAATATCATTCACTAAAATATAACTTGAAGATTAAACATTATTTTTATTTTGACAATGCTTCCCATGTAACTTAACATGTTAAATAATTCTGTTTACCTCTCTTTTGGATGCCGTCTGTAGCATTACAAAGTTAAGGGGTCAGAAAAGACCATTTTGAAGCTGAAATTTGATTTTGGGAAACCTATTAAATATGTTAAAGATTTAAAACACTTGATATTATGAAATAGAATTCCAGGTCACCATAAGTCATTCATTTAATCAAAATGATGACTCAGAAATGTTTAAAAAGGCAAAAACCTTTACTCATTGATAGAAGGAAGACTTAGCTTTCCACACAATCTGTCTTTTGTCTTTCCCTTCTTTTTCTTTTCTCTTTCATAGTATATTTAAAAGGCAAACAAAACTCTTTCATTATCTTATCTTTTAATATTACTTGAAAATCTTGTTTAAGAAAGAAAGCCAAATTTCACCCTTGCATTAGCAGACTATTAATGTCAATCCCAATTTTTAATAAAACCTCATAGACAAGTCTACCCAATCTTAATCAGTTTGATCATATGGCAAGATTTTTATAAACCTTTTATAACCCTTTATAAATTTTTGTTAAAGAGCAGATTAGTGCTTTAAGAAAACTCTCTTGTGCTTTTATTTTGATGTTCAATTTACAGTAAAACCAAATAATACCCTTTTAAATTTAGTCAATATTTTCACACATAGAATTCCTTTTACAAGGTTAATTTTTACAAACCTTCCACAACTTGTTTTAACCTTCAGCTTTATTTAATTTAACACAATCATTTAACCCTTTAAACTAGGCAAAAATTTACATTCTCATGCCTTCTTATAATCTCTTACCAAAAACACATTTGATTCTCCTCATACACCATGCATGTAAACCTATTTTTTCAGTAGTCCCAATTACATGTTATAATGATAATGCTTAGTAACTTTCACTTTTGGTGCATAAATGTAATTTTATAAATCCTTTTATAAATGGGCTTACATTGACCATCTATGACATGTTTGGACTTTCTGACTTGTCCTAAACATCTCTCTTTTAAACAAACAGTCATTTTACTTTAGCTTTAGGACCAGAATTTACCATAAAGATCCTTCCTTATACACAATCTCTTTTCTTTTATGCCTTCTTTGCATAGCTAAGGGGCATGGCTAATTTCACGTGTCCCCAGGGCTTACTTAGAATTTAATGTCTCCAAAATAAATTCAACAATTTTCAAAAGTCAAAGAAGCAGTTTATGACCTTAAAGCATTTAGCAAACTTAACATCTGACCTGCATAATTTAAACCAAATATTTACACTTTTGAAGACATTTTAATTTTACCAATAATCTTTTAAACTGTCTTTACTTACCAAAGAATACTAAAGTTACATGAACTAAATAAAAGGCATTATACTTTTTACATTTCTGACAAAATATTTGATTTAAGCACTTATTATTATTAAACCAATTAGTTAAAACTCTTTCACATATAAACATTACACACACAATACGTATATAAAACTACCTAGACAGACAGAAGATTACTACAGTAGTTGTAAAATTTTTCATTTGCCAGTTATTAATTTTCTTAATTGGATTATTGGCTTTCAGATGGAGTCCTTGGAAAAACAGGTCCAGGAAAGGGTCTCTGGTGCCTCCTGTTTTTTCCAAGGAGTCTCAGGCTGTTAGAGCCTGAATATCTACTTTTAATTAAGCTGACTTTTAACCATAACACTCTTTAATAAAGTCCTTTTAAACATTCTTATTACTTGACTTTACCCAGGCCAAATGGCCAATATTTCTGGCTTTTTAACTTTATTGAAAGTAACCTCACAGGTGCTTTGAGACAGGGAAATTCAAGACAGTTTGTAGAGGGGACTATAATTTTAAAATGGCAAAGGTCACCCAAATATCAATTAGAAAGTTTCATCCCCTAAGCTAGGGATTGAAACCTGAACCCAGGCCACCATTGTGAAAAGAGAAAGCACAGCCACATAGTTACAAGGTCAAGCTCCCAAGGACATAACTGACCAGTTTGTTGGGCTGTCTTGAACAGCAGGCACATGGGGTTTTAGGCACACATTTTATCCCAAGGTACCCACCCCTCTTTGTGACAGAACAATACAGAAAGCCACACAAAGCACACCAGATTCACTATAGCTTAAGACCAGACTCAGATTTTTTTTTGTATTAATCCAAACTGTACAGAAGAGATAAACAGTGATTTTTACCATTCATTCAACTGGTTTGCACAGAGAGAGAGTCAGAGGCCAGAAGTCTGACTGGTAAGAAATTCTTACCCTTTTGCCAGCATGCCAGGCTTCTGGGTTTTCTTTCCCTGAGCAGCCCTAATGACCTGACTTGCTGCACCATCCCCTGGGGGGCCAAGCTACATCATAAAACAAAATTATCTTTTTTCATTCTGGCCAGAGCAAAATACATTTGACAAGACATAGACATTTGTCACTTTGCTTAGCACCCAATATCAAATGGCAAGGCTTAAATTTACCCTCAGATGGGCCCTGCCATCTTTAATCCAACCTCTGACTAGGAGTTTCAACATGTGGTCTCTGGGCAACATGGTTGCCCTGAGTAATAAAAAAAAGATAAGAGAGAGAGAGAAAAAAAAGCATTACCTGTGGCAGGAAGGGGAAGTGAAGACCTCAGGGAGGCCAGAGAAAGACCCACCCATTGCAGCGACACTGAAAAGTTCCGGTGGCTGCTTGTTGGTTGTGACAGGATCTTTTCCAGCAATCCCATCAGCTCTCAAGTTTCCCCTTTTAGGAAGGAAAAAGCTCACCATGTCCTGTAATCCTGTACATGCCTAATCCTGTCACCGTTAGCCATCAGCAAAGAGTGGAAGGCAGATTAATCCAAAGAGAATAACAGTTAACATCCCATAGGGCCAAACCCGTTCTTAGCCAAAGGGGACTTTACCAAGAGCCCTTATTTTTAGATGTACTTCAATGCATTGTAATTCATTCAGAATGTTACACTGTAAGTTATCTTTAGTAAGATTTTACCATTTCTGTAAGACTTCACTGCATCCAAGACCTAATGCATAGACCAGAAGGAACTCAGTTTTCAAGAGATTAAGGATCCCATTTTACCTAAAATATTGGCTTTACTCTTAGGTTCTCCCGATTAACTTAGCCAATAATTTTTCCTACTTAGGCATGCAAGAAAAATGAAACAAAGGGGTAGGACACAAAAATCCCTGTGAATTTTCAAAAGCCGTATTTTATGACTCCTGCAATATTACTGCTAACTGCCAGTTCCTTTCTGACCCAGTCAGATGTAAGAGGTCTCTAATTGGATCCAAGCCAGTTAATTCCCAGATCAAATCCATTCCTGGACCCAGCCCAGTTGCTGTCACAACTTTCAAACCCAGTTTGGATCAGAAATTTACTCAAAGAAACTCCAATGGCTCAAAACACAAATATGTGGCTCTGAAATCCGAGAGAGCACTTACTCATGATCCCCAGCTACTCTGAGACATCAGTGGACACAAATGGGTCCTGCAGGTACCTTGCTTGTTCACTCAGTGCTCCTGGGGGTCGCCAGAAGCTCTACTTCAGTTGCTGCTTCTGACACCATCTGATTAAAGAAAAACTTTGGCCAAATGAAATTTAAAGGAATTTAATTGAGCAATGAACAATTGGTGAATTGGGCAGCTCCAGAATCACAGCAGATTCACAGAGACTCCAGTGCAGCCACGTGGTGGAAGAAGATTTATAGACCAAAAAAAAGGAAATGATGTACAGAAATCAGAAGTGAGCTACAGAATGGCTGGATTGGTTATAGCTCGGTGTTTGCCTTATTTCAACACAGTTTGAACACTCAGCAGTGTATGAATGGTTAAAGTACAGCTGCTAGGATTGGCCAAAACTCAGCTATTGTTACAGGCACATACTCCTAAGTTAGGTTTTCAGTCTTGTCTACCTATTAAAAGCTAGGTTGCAGTTCATCCACAAGGGCTCAGATATAGAAATACAGAGTCCTTCTCAGGCCATGTTTAGTTTGCTTTAACAGGCCAATGCCAAGAAGAGTTTTTCCCAGGTTGTCTTCTAGAATTCTTATGTTTTTAGGTCATAGATTTAAGTCTACAATCCATCTTCAGTTGATTTTTTTAATATGGTAAAATATAGGAATTGAGTTTCATTTTTCTACATGTGGCTATCCAGTTTTCCAGAACCATTTATTAAATAGAGTGTCCTTTCCCCAATTTATATTTTATATGCTTTGTTGATGAACAGTTGGTTGTAAGTATTTGGCTTTATTTCTGGTTCTCTGTTCTGTTCCATTGGTCTATGTATCTGCTTTATACCAGTACCGTGCTGTTTTGGTAACTGTAGTCTTGTGATATAATTTGAAGTCAGGTAATGTGATGCCTCCAGATTTGTTCTTTTTGCTTAGGATTGTTTTGGTTATTTGGGCTCTTCTTTGATTCCATATGAATTTCATGGTTGTTTTTTCTAATTCTCTGAAAAATGATGTTGGTAGTTTGATAGGAATTCCATTGAATCTACAGAGTGCTTTGCATAGTATGGTCATTTGCATGATATTTTTCTTTCTGCTCCATAAGCATGGGATGTATTTCCATTTTTTTCTGTTATCTACGATTTCTTTCAGCAGTGTTTTGTAGTTCTCCTTGTAGCAATCTTTCATTTTCTTGGTTAAGTATATTCCTTGGTATTAATATTTTATTTTTTTGCAGCTTCCATAAAATCATATTGGTATAATTTCAATTTTAAAAATTTATTAAGACTTGTTTTGTGTCCTATTGTATGCTCTATCTTGGAGAATGTTTTATATACTGATGAGAAGAATGTATATTTTGCAGTTCTTGGATAGAATGTTCTGTAAATATCTGTTACATCCATTTGTTCTAGAGTGAAGTTTAAGTTCATTGTTTCTTTGCTGACTTTCTGCCTGGATAATCTTTCTAGTGCTGTCAGTGAATGCTGAAGTCCCCCACTATTATTGTGTGGCTCTCTATCTCTCTTCTCAGGTCTAGTGGTAATTTGAGATCTCCAGAATTAGATGCATATGCATTTTGGATTGTAATATCTTCTTGTTGCAGGAATCATTCTATCATTATATTCTATCGTTATGTAATGTAATAATCTTCTTTGCTTCTTTTTTTTTTTACTATTATTGCTTTAAAGTAAGTGACTCCTCCTTGCTTTGGTTTCTATTTGGATGGAATATCTTTTTCCTCTCCTTTACCTTGAATCTATAAGAATCCTTACGTGTTAGGTGAGTCTCTTGAAGATAGCAGATATTTGGCTTGTGATTTTTTAATCCATTTTACCAATCTGTATCTATTAAGTGGAGCATTTAGACCATTTATGTTCAACACTAATATTGAGATGCAAGGTACTGTGCCAGTCGTTATGTTGATTGTTACCTAGATACTTTGTTGTTGTTTTTTTTGTTTCATTTTGTTATTGTTTTCTAGGCCATATGGGTTTGATGCTTTCAAGAGTTCCATTCTGGTGAATATTGACCTTTTGTTTCAAGATTTAGAACTCCTTTCAGCATTTCTAATAGAATTGGTCTGGTAGTGACAAATTTCCTCAGCATTTGCTTGTCTGAGAAAGATCTTATTTCTTCATTTATAAAACTTAGTTTTGCTGGATACAAAATTTTGGGCTTACAGTAATTCTGTTTAATGAGGCTAAATATAGGACCCCAAGCCCTTCTGCTTTGTAATGTTTCTGCTGAGAATTCTGCTGTTAGTCTGATAAGTTTTCCTTTATAGGTTACATGATGCTTTTGTCTCACTGCTCTTAGAATTCTTTCTTTCATGTTGATTTTAGATAGCCTGATGAATATATACCCTGGTGATATCCTTTTAGCAATTTATCTCCCAGGAGTTCTTTGAGCTTCTTCTGTTTGGATATCTAAATCTCTAGCAAGGCCAGTAATATGACCTGTCCTCAAGTCTCCAAGCAGTGGGTAACAGCACCAGCTGTGATGGGGTGGCAGGGAGTGACATAGACTTTGCAAAATTCCTTGGTTATAAATAGCCTTAACGTGTTTACTTTCTCAAATGCCAGGTATAGTAGTAATGAACAGGTCCTATGGACAGACTCACAACCTCCTGGTTAGCTCCCACATATGTAGCAAGGCAGTTCTTACTCCAGCAGCATTCTACCAGCAGCAGCTAGCTAGGCTCCAGGCAGTGTGTGCTCAGAACCCAAAAGTGCCCCATGCCATAAATCCTCCCTAGGGAGACAGCAACTGGGGCTTTCAGGCCATGCACCTCTTGGTCTGCCACCCAGCTTTTGCATTTGTGGCTGTAGCACACTTCTCACTTGCCCTTCAGTTCTGGCCAAGGAAGTTTCTCCCCACCTGAGATAATATTGTGAATCTCAGTTGAGAGCTTCTCTCAACCTGTGACTACCGCCTATGCTACCTAACCAATTTCTGGGAGATTACCTATGAGGTAGGATCAGGAATGGCTTCCCTCCATCCCCACTAGAGACTGGGAGTACATGCAAAGCATGTCCCAATGCCACTCCTCACATACTCCCCACCGCTCACTAAATCAGCTCCTATGCTGGGCAGGGTTAAGGCCTCCCCATGGCCTGGACTGCCAGGTTCTCTGATGGGAATGTATATCCCAGAGGCAGTTTATTCCCCTGTCATACTCTCAGGACTCCTAGTTTTTTGACTGGCTCACGGTGTAGGCTGCAGCCCACTGCTTCTTTCAAACGTGTGATTTCTTTCAGTTTTCCTGTTAAGTTCCTGTGTTGCTTCTTGGAAAAAAGTTCACAATGTGAATCTCTTCTTACTATTTTGTCTTTCCAAGTGGGAGAGGTATGCTAACAATGACTTCAATCTGCTGTCTTGAAAAAAAAAATATGTGTGTGTGTGTGTATATATATATATATATATATATATATATATATATATATATAAACCTTAACATAGGTATGCATGTATAAGAATAAACATAGCATAAATAGTGTTTGGTACTATCCGTGGTATTAGTCATCCACCTGGGGTCTTCAGATGGATGTATCTCTCAAGGGTAAAGGGAGGATTACTGTTTTATCTAAATTCCTTTAACTATCCTTGATTTTTTCAAAAACATGCTCATTCAATGTTTTCTTTGCTTCTGTATGCCATCCACTTCCTTCTCATAAAGCATCTTTTCCTTGTTCCTCTACTCTTTGGCTTAAGTTGGCAAGAATTTGGTTTTGTTGTCTACATCCAAACTACTCTGATGCAAAATCATCTCATGATCCAAAGTAACTTTATCTAGTTTGTCTCATTTGCTGGATCCCATCTTCTCTTTTAGGTTCCTAAAATGTGACATGCTTTCTCATGGCATCCCAACAATAAAATCTTTCTCTCTCTCATCTGCCTAATGAATTCATATTCCTTCAGTCCTTCTTCACACCTCTTTGCAAGGCCTTCCCTGGACTCTTTCCATGCACAGTTACAGGCTCTAATCCTATTGCATCCTTTACATAGCAATATTGAGACAACTTTTATTATGTGTCCAAAACCATTAAGCATTTTACATACGTTAACTGATTTAATTCTTCCTACTACTTTACAAGGATAAGTACAGTTATTACCCCTTCATTTTATAGCTGATGAAACAGGAGCATACAGGTTTAGTAACACCCTGAAGCCCAGCTAATAAATGGCACACCTAGAACCTGAACATAGCCAGTCAGGTTTTGAACCACTGAGTTGCACTGTCTCTCAGAGGTCCCTTTTAAATTTGTTTACATGTCTGTCTTCACCTCAGGCTGAGGGATTTTTTGCTTTGTTCAGCTTTGTAATTCCAGAACACAGCATGAGCCTGGCATATAAGAAAAGTAAATAAATGAGAGAATGAACCCAATTTCCCTTGGCTATTGTACTTAATCTTTTATTTTGTGGTTGTAATTACAGTTGGCCCTTGAACAAAGAGGGGATTAGGGACACTGTTACCTCATGCAGTCAAAAATTTGCATATACCTTTTGAGTATCCAAAAACTTAACCACTAATAGCCTACTGTTGACTGGAAGCCTTACCGATACATACATAAATAATAGAGTAACACATGTTCTGTATGTTATGTGCATTATATACTATATTCTTACAATAAAGTAAGATAAAGAGAAGAAAATGTTAAGAAAATTATTTAAAATAATACATTTATAGTAATGTACTGTATTTATCAATTGTGAGTTTATGCTATCTGTTTACAAGATGAATTATCTGTCTGAAATGGAGGGCGACTGCAGCTGCAGACCTCACTCTATGGTACATATCAAGAAATTCAGCTTTTTCTTGTAATGCCATGACTGTTTTCCACTTCTTGGGAACACTTCCAGCATCACTAGTAGCACTACATATGGGAACCATGGTGTTGTTATTCAAGATTTAAGATACTGTACTAAATGATGAAAAATATGTGAGAACTGCAAGAGATCACTTTTTACTGCAATATACAGTTTACTGGAGAGATGCACTGCTCAAGGTCACTCCGCATTTTAAGCCAATGCTTGCAACATTTGAGTTCACCCCAGTAGCAATGGGAGGTGGCTATGAAATTATTACAGTTGTGCAGTATGTACTACAGTTAATTTTATGCAACTGTGAGTTAATACTGCATCTTTACATTTGTTTACATTTCTCTAAACTGCAAATGACACACAGACCCTGTGTAAGGTCTGTGTTTGTGTGTGTAAGTTTTGATAAATTTTAACTTTAAAAAATTTGTATATATTTTATAGTATTTAATGATAAAATAGACATATTTTATGCATTCACAACATATCTTTTTCTTAATTTTTCAGTATTTCTAGGCTATACAGTTGTCTGTTTTTTTCAAATTGTCACATATCTCTAAAAAATTTTCCAATGTATTTATTGAAAAAAAAATCAGTGAATAGGTGAACCCACACAGTTCAAACCTGCTTTATTCATGGGTCAACTGTACTTTATTTTCTCATTCTAAGATGCATATTTTTAAAAATATTTATGAAATTAGAAAATATGTTACAAATGATGTATATTTTTAATTGGGTGGCTCCCTCCCCTTCACCCTGCTATCCTGAAAATCTGATATTAATATGGCACATTTCACAATTCATGGCCTCATCGAATCAAGAAAATATGAGGATCATTTTGTTTGCTGCCTTTTGCCAAACCATGGGAATTGAGCTCCTTCTTGTTGGAATTTCTCTTCTGAAACATCATCTGTATCTGCCTGACTAACTCTTACTGAGTTGGGTTGCTCCTAATCCTATCAGTGGGCCTTGTAGCTTTTCCCCCAAAAGTCAGCACTGTGACCATAGGTGGATAATTGTTTTTTATGATGATAAATTAATATGGCCTTAAAAGAGAGATAGACAGGTTCAGATAACAGTGAAAATCAGTTGAGAGACAGTGCTAAGTTGCAGCAGAGCCTGGGCATTGGTTGGTGAGGGGTCCCGCACATAACAAAAGGGGCCTTGCTTTAACCACCTCCTCCATCTAACTTAAGATGTGAACACAGAATGTTTCAGTTGTATTGCCTTATTTCCTCTCTTTCATCACAGCTTACCTACCCTTGAATATGAGCTACTTCTTGAGAATATACTCAAGAAGGCCAATCATTCTTCTCCCTGCAAGTTCCAGGACTGAGTAATAGGATCAATAAGGCTTTCATCATGTGCCTATCCCCTTCCTCACAACCGTGGCCTACATCAGAATGACAACTGCATATTGGAGGTTCCATTCTGAAATGTCTCTGGGATTTGTTCTGACTTTTTCTGTCCCAGAGAAATAGATCCTCTAAATGCTGACCTTAGTTTTTGCCTCCTGCTTCTTTCTAGTCCTTCCTCTGTACTAGTTTTGACTAATTGCTATGGTGAATCCAATTCAATCTATGCACTCACTTGCTTACAGCAGCTGTGCTCCCTCTCATTACTTTCCAGATGAAGTCCTTTGCACATAAGCACATATTCACAATCTGATTTCTGTTCGGACTTTAGGAAAAGATTCTCTACTGTTTTCTCTCACTGTTAGGATGTCATGGATATTAAGTTACCCTCCTGAATTAATGCAAGCTTTTCAAGGAAAAACAAAAACAAAAAAACAAAAAGAGTGGCTTTTTGGTTTTTGCTTTTGAAACAAGGATGCCAAAATGCACTGACACCACTGTAGTTAATATGTGGTTTGTAATTTTCCCAAGTTGGATTCTTCCTGGTCAGCCAGAGGCCCCTTTTAATTGCTGTGAGCAAATGTCTAAACAGAGAGAGCTTCTCTAGAGATGACTGTTTTTTTCTTCTTTGCAGAGAATGTGTTATTTGCAAGAAAGACAAACAAAACTACTTTATTCTGTAGAAAATATTTAATTAGTTTACCTCCTATAACTGTGAGAAAGTAGGAAGTGTTTTCCTGATGGAAGCATGTAATTAGTTCTTTTATGTGTTGACAGTTTCAAACTACAATCTAGGAAAGCTTCCTTTAGCCTAAGGGAGAAAGTGGGCTCAAGTAGCATCTTGGTGTCATGTGGTGAAGGAAAGGATCAGTCCTCTGGGAAGTGGCTGTGCAGGTCACCAGAAAGTGATTGTCTGTGATCTGGGAGAGCTAGGACCTTCTGCTTCTGCTGCTACCACAGGGCAAGTTAGGATGAAGGGTTCTTCAAGCAGTGGAACCCTAGGTAGGTAGCTTTCACTGTCCCCTGAGCCTCACATCCAAAGAAGTCTAAGAGAGCTCTGGACTTCATCTGGAAAGTAATGAGAGGGAGCACAGCTGCTGTAATCAAGTGAGTGCACAGATTGAATTGGATTCACTATAGTGCCACTTTGATCAATTGCCACCTTGACTCCGAAACTTAGGTTTTTGTTATTGTTTCTGTTTTTAAGAGACAGGGTCTCACTCTGTTGCCCAGGCTGGAATGCAGTGCTTTAATCATGGCCCACTAAAACCTCAAACTCCTGAGCTCAAGCTATCTTATCACTTCAGCCTCCAGAGTAGCTGGGATTACAGGCATGTGCCACCACCCCTGGCTAATTTTTAAACTTTTTGTAGAGATAGGATCTCACTATGTTTCTCAGGCTGGTCTTGAACTCTTGGCCTCAAGTGATCTTCCTGCCTCGGCCTCCCAAATTGCTGGGATTACAGGTGTGAGCCACTGCACCTGGCATCCGAACATTAGCTTTCATATTTCATTTTTATTAGTCATCTTTAGCAAAAAGATATTTTAAGTCTTAAGTGATGACTTGAATAAAACATATTACAAGTCCACCTTACCACTCCCCAGCCCTGAAAAACAATAACCAAAGTGACAGCTTCTTTAAGGGCAATCTGCTTTCATTATTTACTATAAACTGGAGCTTACACTTCCGAAATCTGAGTCTGTCATAGTATGTTAGGTTTGGGTTTTTAAGAATTATTTCAGTTTCCTCTTGGCCTATAGCTACCCATTGTCTTATATGGAACTTTAGATCCTTTATAGAAGGTACATTTAAGTGTAGTTTCCAAGTATAGGGACTTCTTCAATGAGCTACATCCTATATGACACAGTGAGAAAGGGATGGTACAACCTCCATCCAAAGCTAAGGTGAGACATGGAAGAGGGAGGACTCCTACAGAACTAACTAAAGGAACATATCTATGATGGTACTATGACTAAGAAAACATGACTCAATAAACTCAGTTGTTTTTCTCTGCCTTCAGATTTTAAGAGAAAGAGGCAAAAGGTGTCTTTATTTATACTATAAATAGTGTAACTTTATAACAGAGTTATTTAAAATTCAAAAGCCAAGCAAATAACTTTATAGGTGTATATTATATGTGTATCCCCTAACCTTGAAGGGCAAACACACACACACACATACACACACACACACACACACACACACACACACGCTCTGGCACATGGCAATACTTAATAATGATTTCTTAAGTGAATAAATCTTAAGTGAATAAATCTTTCTTTATATACTGGGCTGACTCCCCTATACCTTCTCAATCTTTTAGCATCATTATACTTTTTATATATACTTATTATTAATGTCCAGCATGTCAAAGTTAATCATAATGGCTAACACATACTTACTTAGGATTATTATTGTTACCAAACTATATATATGTGGATATATAAATATTTCTACACAATAACCCTAAGGGTCTAAGAGTTAGATACTACTATTATTTTGGTTTGAAAGATAAGACTGAAGCATAAAAAGGGTTTTATTTTTTATACTTGCAAGGTCAAATAGCTATAGTAAGTGACAGTATTCAAATATAGACAGAATCATTGCTAGGTCCTCAGTTACAAAAAAAAAAAAAAAATACCTAAATTTGTTTCTCTAGGCCTGCTTACTTGAAGCAGGGGAAAGAGGATTGCTATATAACCTCTGTTAACCCAAAAGCCAGTGACTATGAGTTCTAGTCCTATTTTCAAGGCTTTCCTATAGAACATAGCATAATATAGTCTCTTAAGAAGAATTGACATTGATTGGAAGCCTTCTCTGTGCTAGACACTGTCCTAAGCACTCATATAGACAACATGTCATGGAATGCTCACAACCACCTATGGGTAAGAATTCTTACCCTTGTTTTGCAGATGAGGAAACTGAGGTCTGGGAAGTGGACATCATTTGCCCAAGGTCTCACTGTTCTTAGACCACTGAGCTGGGACTCATATCTGGGCCCATCTGACTCTAAAGTTTATTTCATACCTGGTGTTACCCTAAATTTTTAGGCATTTCCGACTGATCTGTCTTTCCACTGTTAGTGGCAACATGGTAATTGTTGTGTATTTTAATGAGTTGAGTGTTCCACAGAGAATGTGTTAAGCTTTATTCCTACTACAAAATATTAGTGAAGCAAATAGTAGGAATTCCTGCCAAACTAAGATTGGGATTATTCCTCTTATGTATTTTCCTTGTACAAGATTGATGAACCATTACAACCATTATATTAGTATTGAATAACCAAGGTATTCTGGTTACAAATGTAGAAAAATCATCTGTTAGGCACTCAGCTAAGTATATCATTACACTACAGGTTTCATTATGGGTTGCTTTGAATGCAAATGTATACTTCAGAAATTATTAATTAACTTTGGTTTTCTTACTAGAGTACAATTGACTTTATTTGACGTTAGCTGTTAGGAACACAGAAAGAATGCCTTAGCCATGTTTACATGTTTGTAAGCATAGTGAAGGTAAAGGCTCCACTTGCCAAACACTTTGAATTCAGCAGGAGCCCAGTAAATACTGTAGAATGAATGGTAGGAATCCAGTTAGCTTAAACTCTGAAACTGACAAAGCTTAGGTGCCTCCTTCCTGTTTTTGACCTTCTTTCTCCTCCCTGAATGACGGATCACCTTCCACCTCTACCTGCTGTTCCCGTTTGCTCCAAGCACCAAGTAAAACAACCTGGTCAAAACTAACATTGGCGACTTACAGAGTTACCTCTTTGAGAAGTATTCGCAATTTCCAAAGGGTGTTAGAGACAAGACAGAGTGTTCATGTTAGAATGTTACTGTTGGCTGTAGTCAGGGAGCCCCCAAAACCTGTCAAGCCAGTTTGGAAAGAAGTGACAGTTAATGTATTAGATAAGCTCTGTAAGATGAGAGAATGATGTGCTTTATTTGCAGATGGTGTGGCATTGCCTTGATTGTGTCTGGGCTCCTGCCTTTATCTTTCCGTAGTCTCATGGTGGTTCTGTGTATCAGAGCACCTGCCACCTGGTTTAGGACTCAATGCACTCCACTGCTAGTCTCTCTCCCTCAGTGCCACAGGGGAGATTTCCTTTCTCTCTCATGTATTCACCTCATGCAGTGTCCCCAATCCACAGATCAAATCATCATGCATTACAAAGGGTAATCAGTGCTGAGAACAATTAATAATCAAGCAATATAACCCGAGCAGAAATC
This sequence comes from Homo sapiens, assembly GCF_000001405.40. NCBI lineage: Eukaryota > Metazoa > Chordata > Mammalia > Primates > Hominidae > Homo > Homo sapiens. The sequence continues at coordinate 71,195,362 of NC_000012.12, read as the reverse complement.
TCAACAGATTGCACATAGATAATCTCTATAATTTCTTAATATTCATCTAAGGATTGGCAAACTAAGGCCCTTGGGCTAAATCAAGGCTAACACTTGCTTTTGTATGCCCAATGGCTAAGAATGGTTTTTATATTTTTTAAAGTCAGAAAATATAAAAAGAAGCAGAATATTTCATGACGTGTGAAAAGTATATGAAATTCAAATATCAGTGACCACAAATAAAGTTTTATTGGAACACTTTATTCATTGCTTATTCATTTATGTATTGTCTATAGCTGCTTTTGTACTACAGTGGCTATGTTGAGTTGCTGTGACAAAGACCTGCAAAGCCTAAAGTATTTGTTATCTAGACTTTTACAGAAAAAGTTTGCTTAACCCTAATTTAGTCACTCATCTGATATCAACCAGGAGAGCTGCCTGGAAATCACTGTTAAACGCATACATGCCATTTTCTCGATGTAGGCACTTGTTTTCCCAGGAAGGTCTGCCAGCTTGATTAATTGCATCAGTAGATATTCATACTGGACAATCTGGCTCACATTTGCCTGTGATCCTGACAAGCTGTCTATGTTGCTTAGTAATGGTTGTGTGTCACCAGTGACCTTAAGGAAATAATGGAATAGAAATAGAAATAAATGTAATGGAAGTTGATAACATTATTAGTTCTATAATATAATTTTTCTGCCCTTTATACAGTTTTGTAACTGAGTTTAGAAACCATTATAAATAATGAAAGACAGAATAAAGCAAGACAGACAGATATAATTCCCATCCATTAGCAAAATGTAAACAAATGAAAACCCAGAGAAATTAAACAAGTTTCTTATCATATAGCTACTGAATGGCAAAACTAGGACTAGACACCAGGTATCCCAATACCTTATTTCATTATTTTGCTTCTTAGTAATGAGACTGCCATGCATATGATGTTATGAAGAGTAGTCTTACAGATTTCAGGTAGGGGCTCTTTTTACTCATTTTCCTGGAAAAACTAAGTAAGGGCATTTAGCTAATTAAATCGGATCTAATGTATTCCCTTTTTTCATCAGTAGGCAGTAAAATTAACAGGATCTTGGAGGAACTTTTTTCATCTCTTTCACTTGGGAGGACAGGGTTATTATTAGATGAAGCTTGGAATTAATATTGAATGCATCTATTGCCCCTAGATTTCCATTCATAATTATTGGATCCCAAATGCATACATTTCTGTTCTATACAGAATTTTTTTTCCAGAGAAAGGACCCTTTTACAACATAAGATGTGCTTAGGTGGTAACATACCTCTGATCAAGGGTGTCATGTATATATAGTTTGCTACCAGTGGTTTGGCAGTGTGTATTAGAGTTAACGGCTTTTGACACTGAAGTTTCTGCATTGCTGGATTTTTATAACCATATCTTTTAGAGGTGATGAATTTCTACTCTTCTTAACATGTTACCCTAACAAAGAGGCATGTTTGCAAAGTTGCATCTTAGGCAACTCCAAAGAAACCATATTGTTTTAGAGAACAATGCAAAGTTTAGTCTTTAGTAATTCTTTGTATATGGAAATTCACAGGAATAAAGAGTACCAGATGTGTGAAATTAAAGAGAATTAAGGGATTAATTCTATACATCCAAACTGTGTGTAAATTTAGTGTTGGCATTTCCTTTAATTGATTTCCAGGATTCAGTCTTGGCAGTTCTACTTCATTAATGGTAATTCTATGTGCAATGTATGGATGAGCATCTGATTAGTCTATTAAAGCAGAGTGCATTTATATTATGGCTTAAATGTGTTATTTAATTATTCTTTGACTTTTGTCCATACATCTTTGTTTCTTGAAGAAAAAGAGTTTGTTGAATTGTAACCAGTTTGAAACATAGTGTAGTGAAGTCAATTATTAAAACGATGGCAGCAAGAGGTCAGGGAATGGGGTGCTTTATCCCTTCCATCTTGGGGAGTATGTACCTTGGCCAGATAATGTCATGATTAGTAACATCTGTAAGATTCATCACTATAGTTTATATACTAAAGCCAGGGGAGACAAATATTAATAGATACTTCTTGCCTCTGCCTTGACTGCTGTCCCAGAGTAACTGATTTATGCTAATGACAATCTAACTATTATGTTGATGGGTCATGCCAAAAAAGGAAAAAAAATGATCCGGGTAAAGTTCTTTTCCTTTCTTCTGCCCCCCTCCCCTCCCTCCCTCCCTCCCTCTCTTCCTTCCTTCCTTCCTTCCTTCCTTCCTTCCTTCCTTCCTTCCTTCCTTCCTTCCTTCCCTCCTTTGTAATTAGTAGCTTATTTGTTCTTCCTATAAAAAGTATACTGATGTTGTTTATCCACTATTCTACTCACCTGGGGGAAACAACAATTAGTTATGGAGACAGGTAGCTAAGCAGAGTTTTGCAAATATGGTTAATCAAGTTTAGAGTGGAAACAGAACAAGATAGAATACTCAGTAGTATCAATGTGAGGGGAGAGAACTGCATTGCAGCTGTTCTCACTAAGCTCATTGAAGAAATTTTAAATGAAACAAACTGTTTGCTTTGATGAAACAGTAACACATGATGTAGCATGAAATGGAAGAAGAGTGCAAGTCTCTGAAAGTCACGAAAGTGATGAGATTTTTAAATTTGTGTGTTTCCCTTGGGTGTAACGGTCTCATATTTGTGATGTTTTGCATAATTACAAATGTGGAACTGTTTTGTATTTTAAAGTCTGCTGTGGGTTTAGCTGGCATCTGTGTGCAAATTTGTTCTTATTTACTTTCTAACAAAATAAACTTAGACAACTTCTAGAATCTTCCTTGTATAAAGAAAAAAGTCTGTAAAGTAGGCAGAACTCTCTGAAGATGGTGCATATAGCATGCACACATATACTCTATTTTTGATTTCCTTAATACATCTGGGTTCTTTAAAAGGAAAATTTGACTTTATATGATTTTTAAAAGAAATGACCAACAATGAATAGGTGGAGAACAGAGGATTTTTAGGGCACTGAAACTATATGATATTATAATGGTGAATACATGTGAGTATATATTTGTCCAAATTCATAGAATGTACAATACCAAGAGTGAACCCTAATGTAGACTATTGTCTTTGGGTGGCAATGGTGTATCAGTGTAGGTTCATCAATTGTAACAAACATACCACTTCTGTCGGGGAGGTTATGCATGTATGGGGGAAGGGAGTATATGGGAAATCAGTACTTCTCAATTTTACTGTGAACTTAAAATTGCTCTAAAAAAAAAACCAAGATATTTAAAGAAACAGAAATAAATTATCATTTGCTGACTCTGGAGGATATGGTTTATTATTAAAATGCCCCGGTGTTATGCCAATCCTTCTGTTTGCTACAGCTGAAATAAACAAAGGTCCTTTCAGTGGCCAAAAAATAAGATGCAAGGAAAGTAAAGTCATGATTAAACAGTTCAGGTGGTGGAAATTTCTCAGGAAACTTGGAGGAATGCCGACAGGCAGTTTTCACACTGATTCTACTTTAAAAACATCTCAAGGTTAGGATAATTTGATCAGGCGAATTTTCCATACAACATATTGCTTCCTGGTTCATCGTGAGAAGAGACTGTCCTTTGAATATTGCAAGGCAAGGGGAACTCATGATTAGCATGACTGCTTTAGCAGGAAATAAATGAAGTCGTTCAGGGAAATGCCTTTGTCTTTTAAAAGGACCAGGCACATCTGTTTGCAGCATCCAGATGGGATTGTTAAACCTTGAGTTGTACAACACAAGCCCTATGAAGGAATAATTGTTGCATGATCTTATATTTATGTGCAATGAACATCCTTGGACTGTTCCTGTATCATAAAAAATAATTAGCTGTGCTTAAAAAACTCTCAATTGCTACATTTAAACCACATGGGGATTAGAATGCATTTTTTGTGTGTTCTTGTATAATCTTATAAATATAGGATTTCCCAAACATATATTACTATAATGCAATTATATATACAATAATATCATGCATATGTATCGTATGTATTATATATCTCCCATATTCCTAAATGGATGCTGTCAAAAAGATGCTTTTTAAAATTAATAAAAACATTTACATATCTCCATCACCATTGGGTCATATACTGAAAAGCAACTGAGAGGGAGAATACATCCATACATACTGTTATTCCCAGCTGCAGAGCTTACAGCTCTGTTAAAAAGATGATTCTATGGTTGCATTTGTTTCGCTCACTCTCAGGCCTGGCAGTGTCAAGCCATTCAAAGAAGGGCATGTCCCTTAGCCCCTCTGAATCTCAATCTCCTTTTCCGTAAAACGGGGATAATAATGTATAACTCATGATGGTGTTGTCAGATATGATAAGATAATATATAAATAGTTCCTGGCATGTGAACTCACACCACACTTGTATTCAAACCCTAAAGTATTCAGGAAGGATGTCAACAATAAAAGTATAAAGTATAGACCAAGAAAGACCTGTGACGAGACCAGGAAGGAAGAGAAGTAGGGGATTCAAAAGCAAGTGAGTTATGATTTGCTTCCTGTTACTACACCCTCATTTGGCAGAATATCCCTTTCAGTAATTTCTCATGAAAGGCTGCAAAGACAGTGTATGTGTGTAAATATTTTGACTCCTTGTATGTCTATCATTGTCATGTGTGGTCTATATCACCATGTACAATCTATCATCACACTTAATTGTAGTGTGGTTGTATATTGAATTCTGAGTGGGAGGGCACTTTCCTATAGAATTTTGAATGTCATTGTTACAGTGTTGTTAAGAAATTCAGGTCAGCAAGATGGCAAAATAGGAGGTTCCCAGCTCATGTTCTTCCACCCAGTTACCTGGAAGCCATTCATGGACAAATATGCCATTGTGAGAACTTTGAGATTCAGGTGTGAGGTTGCAAAACCCAAGTTAAGCCCAAGACCAAGGAGAGCCACTTTGAGAAGGCAGACCTGGACCACAGTGGCAGACTTCATGAACATAGTCCTGGCTACAGACCAAAAGTGACACCAACTTATTATGGACTAGCTCCAGCTGCATATGGCCATGGTACTAAATCCAGCCCCATTTACCAAGGAACCTGGGAGGAGCCACATCCATCTGTACTGGGAACCAGCTTTTTGTTTCATTTATCTTTTGTATCTTTTTTGTTTCAATTTCATTTAGTTATACTCTGATCTTGGTTATTTCCTTTCTTCTGCTGGGTTTGGATTTGTTTCGTTCTTGTTTTCTAGTTCCTTGAGGTGTGACATTAGATTGTCCATTTGTGCTCTTTCAGACTGTTTGGTAAAGGCATTTAAGGCTATGAACTTTCCTGTTATCACCACCTTTGCCATATCCCAGAGGTTTTGATAGGTTGTGTTATTGTTCAGTTCAAAGGATTTTTAAATTTCCATCTTGATTTCATTGTTGACCCAATGATCATTCAGGAGGAGGTTATTTGATTTTCATTTGTTTGTGTGGTTTTGAAGGTTCCTTTTGGAGTTGGTTTCCAATTTTATTCCACTGTGGCCTGAGCAAGCACTTGATATAATTTCAATTTTCTTAAATGTATTGACACTTGTTTTGTGGCCTATCATATGGTCCATCTTGGAGAAGGTTCCATGTGCTGATGAATAGAATGCATATTCTGCAGTTGTTGGGTAGAATATTCTGTAAATATCTGTTGAGTCCACTTGTTTTAGGGTATAGTTTAAATTCATTGTTTTTTGTTGTTGTTGTTGTTGACTTTCTGTCTTGATGACCTGTCTAGTGCTGTCAGTGGAGTATTGAAGTGCCCCACTATTATTGTGTTGCTGTTTATCTCATTTCTTAGGTCTAGTAGTAATTGTTTTATAAATTTTGGAGCTCCAGTGTTAGGTGCATATCTATTTAGGATTGTGATATTTTCCTGTTTGACAAGGCCTTTTATCATTATGTAATGTCCCTCTTTGTCTGTTTGAACTGCTATTGCTTTAAAGTTTGATTTTTCTGACATAAGAATAGCTACTCCGGAGTGCTTGCTTCTGGTGTCCATTTGCATGGAATCTCCTTTTCTACCCCTTTACCTTCAGTTTATGTGAATCCTTATGTTAGGTGAGTCTCTTGAATGCAGCAGATACTTGTTGGATGAATTCTTACCCATTCTGCAATTCTGTATCTTTTAAGTGGAGCATTAACGCCACTTACCTTCCACATTAGTATTGAGATGTGAAGTACTATTCCATTCATGCATATGATTTTTTGCCTGTATGACTGTTTTTAAAATTACATTTTTGTTTTATAGGTTCTGTGAGATTTATTCTTTAAAGAGGTTTTGTTTTGAAGTGTTTCCAGGATTTGTTTCAAGATTTAGAACTCCTTTTTAGCAGTGCTTATTGTGCTGGGTTGGTAGTGGCAAATTCTCTCAGCATTTGTTTAAAGGAAAGAAGACTGTATCTTTCCTTCATTTATGGAGCTTATTTCCCTGGATACAGAATTCTTGGCTGATAATTGTTTTGTTTAAAGAGGCTGAAGATAGACCCCCCTCAATCCCCTCTTGATTGTAGGGTTTCTGCTGAGAAATCTGCTGTTAATCTGGTAAGTTTTCCTTTTAGGTTACCTGGTAGTTTTGCCTCACAGCTCTTGAGATTCTTTCCTTCATCTTGACTTTAGATATAACCTGAAGACAATGTGCCTAGGTGATGGTCTTTTTGTGATGGATTTCCTGGGTGTTCTTTGAGCTTCTTGTATTTGGATGTCTAGGTTGCTAGCAAGGCTAGGGAAGTTTTCCTTGATTATTCCCCCAAATATGTTTTCCAAGCTTTCGGATTTCTCTTCTTCCTCAGAAACACCAATTATTCTTAGGTTTGGTCATTTAACATAATCCCAAACTTCTTGGAGGCTTTGTTCATTTTTTTTTAAATTATTTTTTCTTTGTCTTTGTTGGATTAGGTCAATTCAAAAGCCTTGTTTTCGAGCTGTGAAGTTCTTTCCTCTTCTTGTTCGATTCTATTGCTGAGACTTTCCAGTACATTTTGCATTTCTCTAAGTGTGTTCCTTATTTCCTGAAGTTATGATTTTTTTAATTTATGCTATCTGTTTCACTGAAGATTTCGTCTCTCATATCTTGTATCTTTTTTTTTTTATTTCCTTAAATTGGACTTTACCTTTCTCTGGTGTCTCCTTGATTAGCTTAATAATCGACCTTCTGAATTCTTTTTTAGGTAAATCAGGGATGTCTTCTTAGTTTGGATCCATTGCTCTTGAGCTAGTGTGATTTTTGGGGGGTGTTAAATAACCTTGTTTTATCATATCACCAGAATTGTTTTTCTGGTTCCTTCTTATTTGTGTAGGCTATGTCAGAGGGAAGATCTGGGGCTCAAGGCTGCTATTCAGATTCTTTTGTCTCATTTGTATCCCCCCAATGTAGTATTCTTCCCTTTTTCCTAGGGGTGTGGCTTCCTGAGAGCTATACTGTAGTGATTGTTATTTCTGTTCTGAATCTGGCCACCCAGCAGGGCTACCAGGCTCTGGGCTGGCACTGGTGGCTGTCTGCAGAGTCCTATGATGTGAACCATCTTCAGGTCTCTCAGCCATGTGTATCAGCTTCTGCTCCAGTGGAGGTGGCAGGGGAGTGAAGTAGACTCTGTGAGGTCCTTAGTTTTGGTTGTTTAATACACTATTTTTGTGCTGGTCGTCCTCTACCAGGAGGTGGGGCTTTTAAGAGAGCATCAGCTGTGGTAGTATAGGGGGGATCAGGCAGTGCGTGGGGCCCTAGAACTCCCAAGAGACTATGCTCTTTGTCCTCAGCCCTTTGTCCCGGGTGGGTGGGGAAGGATCATCAGGTGGGGGCAGTGCTAGGTGTGTCTGAGCTCAGATTCTTCTTGGGTGGGGCTTGCTGTGGCTGCTGTGGGAGATGGGGGTGTGGTTTCCAGGTTCAATGAAGTTATGTTTCCAGGAGGATTATGGCTGCCTCTGTTGTGTCATGTAGGTTGTGAGGGAAGTTAAGGAAAGCTGGCAGTTACAGGCCTCATCCAGCTCCCACACAGCCAAAAAGGCTATTTTCAATCCCACTGTGCCCCCCACAACAGCACCAAGTTTGTTTCCAGGCAGTGGGTGAGCAGGGCTGAGAACTTGCCCCAGGCTACCCGCCTACCAGCTGAGAAAGCAAGCAGAACTTCTGTGCCTCCTGGCCTGTTGAGTCTGTACACTGGATTCATGCCCTCCCTCAAGTTCTGGCCAGGAGACTTCGTATTCAGTTGGAATTGTTACAAAGTTCAGCTGAAGGTTTCCTTCTCCCTGTGGTCTTTTCCCAGTTCCTCTGGCAGCCCTGCCCAAGTACTCACGTGAGACAAATCAGAAATGGTTTCCCTGGGGACCTGGAGAGCCCACAGGGCTTCTCCTGCTGCTTTCTCTACCCCGTATTTCACTTGGCTCTCTAAATTGACTCAGCTCCAGGTAAGGTCAAATCCTTCTCCTGTGATCTATACCTCCAGGTTCCCCAGTAAGAGTGTGTGTTCAGGTGCGGATGATCCCCCTTTCTCACTGTCACAGCTTGGGCACTCACAGAATTTGGGCTGTCTCCCAGGTCCTGCAGGAGCAATCCACTTCCTTCAGAGGGCCTGTGGGTTTTCTTGGCTTCCCTGATATATTTCTGCAGTAGTTCTGGAGCAAGTTCATGATGCAAGTCCCCACATACTGCTCTGTCTGAGCAGGAGCTGCAAGTTAGTCCTGCCTCCTATCTGCCATCTTCTCTCTCCTGAATATATCAAAATTGATTAAATAGTTAAATGTAAGACCTGAAACTGTAAAACACTAAGAATAAAACATAAGGATAAAGCTTCTTGTCATTGTTCTGAGCAATGATGCTTTGTATGTGACAGCAAAAGCACAGGCAAAAAAAAAAAGCAAAAACAGACAAATGAAACTGCATCAGACTGAAAAGTTTCTGCACAGAAAAGGAAAAAAATCAACCTATGGAATGGGAGAAAATATTTCCAAACTGTACACCTAATGAAGGATTAATATCCAAAGTACATGAGGAACTCAAATAACTCAAGAGCAAAAAATACATAATCTAATTAAAAAGTGGGCTGGGCATAGCAGCTCAGGCCTGTAATCCCAGCACTTTGGGAGGCCAAGGTGGGAGGATCGCTTGAGTCCAGGAGTTCAAGACCAGCCTGGGCAACATAACAAGATCTTTTCTATTAAAAAAAAAAAAATTAGCCAGGTGTGGTGTGGTGGCACGTACTTGTAATCCCAGCTACATGGGAGGCTGAGGCAGGAGGATCCCTTGAGCCAGGAGTTTGAGGCTGCAGTAAGCTATGATCACACCACTGCACTCCAGCCTGGGAAATAGAGTGAGACCTTGTCTCAAAAAAAAACTAAAAGTGGGGAAAGAATCTGAAAAGATATTTTTCCAAAGAAGACATGCAAATGGCCAATAGATATATGAAAAAGTGCTCAATATAATTAATCATCAGGAAAACATATCAAAACCACAATGAGTTATCATCTTACTACTGTTAGAATGGCTATTATTAAAAGGACAAAAATCAGTTTTGGTGAAGGTGTGAAGAAAAGAGAACCCTTTTATACATTGGTGGGAATGATTAGTACAGCCAGTATGAAAAATAGTATGGAAGTTCCTCAAAATTTGAAAAATAGATCCAGCAATCCCACTTCTGGGTATATATCCAGAGCAAAGGAAATCAATATGTCAAAGAGTTTTTTGAACTTCCATGTTCATTGCTGCATTAGTCACAATAATCAAGATATGAAAACAACCTAAGTGTCTGTTGCTGGATGAATGAATAAAGAAAATGTGAGATTATATCTATGGAACTTTATTTAGTGGAATATCATTCAGCCTTTAAAAAAGGAAATTCTGTCATTTGAGATAGCATGAATAAACCTGGAGGATATAATGCTAAGTGAAATAAGCCAGACACAGAAAGACACTGCAGGATCTTACTTATATGTGGAATCTTAAAAAGTTGAACCCATAGAAGCAGAGTAGAATTGTGATTTCCAGGGACAGGTGGGTGAGCAGGTAAAATAGGGAGATGTCAAAGGGTACGAAGATTTAGTTATGCAGGATAAATATATTCTGAAGATCTACTGTATAGCATGATGACTATAGTTAATAATACTACTGTATTGCATACTTGAAATTTGCTAAGAAAATTGATCTTAAGTATTGTTACCACACATAAAAATTATAACTATGTGAAAAGGGAGATGTGTTAATTTGCTTGATTGTGGTAATCATTTGACAATGTATACATATATCAAAACATCATGTTGTACATCTTAAATACATACAATTTTTATTTGTTAAATACACTTCAATAAAGCTGAAATAAAATCTAAGGCCGCTCTATTTTATGTGACTTTACTTATGTTTTAAATATTCATACAAGTGTTCTGAAACTTCTCAGGATCTGCCTTGATGTGGGTACATTTTTATCTGTTGTTCTGGGCAATCAGTGTATGCTTTCAATGTAGGAATTGTTCTTGGATTTGTTCTTTAATGCTTTCCTTTTCTCCATTTTCTCTATTTATTCTTTCTGAAACTTCTACTATTTGAATATTGGACACCTTTGATTCTCTAATTTTCTTTTCTTTTTTTTTTCTTTTCTCTTTTCTTTTCTTTCTCCCTCTATCACTCTCTTTTGTGTGTGTGTGTGTGTGTGTGTGTGAAACAGGGTTTCATTCTGTGATCTCACTCTGTGGCCCAGGCTGGTGCTGGTGCACTTCAGCTTTGACCTCCTGGGCTCACGCAATCCTCCTTCCTCAGCCTCCTGAGTAGACGTAGCTGGGGCTACAGGCATGCATCACCATGCCTGGATAATTTTTTTTTTTAATTTTGTAGAAACAGGGTCTTACTATGTTGCTCAGGCTGGTCTTGAACTCTTAGGCTTGAGTGATGCCCCCACTTTGGTGTCCTAAAGTGCAGGAATTATAGGCATGAGCCACCACACTCATCCTCTTTTCTCTATTTTTGATCTCTGTCTTTTGCCCTACTTTATAGGAGAGGTCCCCCATATCTTCAAACCCCTTTTCTGAGATTTTTATTACTACAAATATATTTTTATTTTTCCAAGAGCTCTTTGTTATTCTTGATTATTCCCTTTATTTACTTATAATATTCTGCTTCTATTTCAGATGTAATCAACCTTATCTCTGACTATGTTAATGGTAGTTTTTTGTAGTTTTCACCTCCCTGCATGGATGATTATTTGCTGCTTGTTTTGTTTTCTGCCTTGCATGTTAGATGTTTTCTTTAGTTGTCTGGTGATCTGTGACTATCTGTTTATGTTTCAGGTTGTAACACTGTAAAGCTGATGGAAAGCTCTGTAAGAGTGGGTGAGTTCTGGCTTGTGAACTATGGGCTTGATTTTTGTGGTCAGGTTTTGGCTGTTTCAGCTGTTTTTTGGGGAATCCCAGATATCAGTATTTTTAGGTCTTTTTTCCTTAGGCTGATCAGAATCACTGGTGAAGACTCTTTTAGTCTCCTGCCTGGAAGCTGTAATTCTGGATACCACTTTCTGGGACAGAGATAGGAAGAGGGCTGAAGGTTTCAACATTGAGTATGAAAATTTCCTTTAAAACTCACTGAATTCAGTATGATACACAACCAAGGACTGTGTCTTCTCACGTAATTATTTTTTTTTCATTTTCTGCTGACTATAAATCTCTAGTTTTCCATAAAGTGGAAGCCTGTCTACTGGAGAAGAGAGGCCATTTGGAGTCTGAGTGCTTTTTAAATAAACTTTCAAATAATCCTTCTGTTTTTAATCCTGTCTTCCATCAAAATCCCAGTGGCATCAACATCTGGTGCCATTATTTCCAGAAGAGTTGGGTGGGAGATCTGGGGTGCAAATTGGTTGCTTAGCTTTCCTCATTGTTGGTTGAGAATACAACTTTCTTCACTTTGTTAAATCATCTACCACTCATCTGTCAGTTTTCCAGCTTCCAAAAATTGTTTTCCTCTCCTGTTTGCTTTGTCCATCACAGGGTAAGGGTTTTAAAAATTCCTTTACTGTTAGGTGGGTGGATATAGAAGAGAGGATGGGTAAATGAATGGTTTCATTCTGCTACCTTTACCCACCTATGCCCACTCACTTTTCAGGTAACTTCTCCAACTGCACTTCATACTGCTGAAACCACTCTGGCAAGGGAACTGATGACTCAGGCCTCCACAGGACTTGTCTTATCTGTGGTATTTGAAACTAATAATTTCCATCTTCCTTGAAAACCATTTTCCTCCCTATGATTCATAACTCACTTGCTTTCGAATCCCCTACTTCTCTTCCTTCCTGGTCTCATCACAGGTCTTTCTTGGTCTATACTTTTATTGTTGATGTGCCTCAATGTTCTCTCTTTTCTCTTCTGACTTTTCTGCCTGCCTAGGGTAATTTGATTTCTTTTTATGGCTTCATCTACCCCCTTGGTATTCAAGATTCGTGAATCTTCATCAGTGTTTAGACTTTTTGCTTGGGCTCTTCTGCTTAATATCCAACTTTCTTCTGGATGTTTTCACTTCAAACTCAACGCGTCCGTAATCAAGCTCATATTTCCAACAAATCTGTTTCTTCTTACTTTTTTTTTTCAACCTCAATGAATAGTATGGCATCTCCTATAACTTAAAATAGAAAGCTTATTATATGTCATTTTAAAATCAGTGGTCTATGATAGCCCTATATCTGAGTTCTATAAACTATACTTCCTTCACTTCCTTCATGTTCTGTGTGTGTCAATGTGTGTGTGTGTGTGTGCATATGTGTGTGTGTGCGTATTGCTCCTCTACCTCTCCAGTATTACTGCCTTGGTTTAGGTCATTATCTGCCCTATTCCCATAGTTTCTTAATGATTATCCCAATGCAATTCTTAATGCATTGAATCTGTAGATTGCTTTAGATAGTATGGTCATTTGCATGATAGTGATTCTTCTAATTCATGAGCATAGGATGTATTTCCATTTGTTTGTGTCATCTATGATTTCTTTCAGCAGTGTTTTACAGTTCTCTCTGTAGTCTGTAATCCATCATCCATATTGCCATTTTAAGAATAAAGACCATAGTTCAAATTATTTATTTAAATAGCTTTTAGGGTAGAAGTGATTTTTGGTTACATAGATTAATTGTACAGTGATAAAGTCTGAGATTTTATTGCATCTATCACCTGAGTAGTGTACATTGTATCCAACAGGTATATATTTATTCTTTACTCTCCTCCCACCCTCCCCCATCCTAAGTCTCCAAAGTACATTATACCACTCTGTATGCCTTTGTGTACCCATAGCTTAGCTCCCAATTATAAGCGAGATTATACAATATTTAATTTTCCCTTTCTGAGTTCCTTCACTTAGAATAATGGCATCCAGTTCCATTCAAGTTGCTGCAAAAGACATTATTTTATTCTTTTTTTGTGGCTGAGTAGTAATCCATGGTTATCTACACCATATTTTCTTAATCTGCTCATCAGTGGATGGGCACTTAAGTTGGTTCCATATATTTGCAATTGTGAATTGTGTTGTGATAAACATACACATTCAGGTGTCTTTTTGATATAATGACTTTTTTTCCCCCTTTGGCTAATTACCCAGTAGAGGGATTGCTGCATTGAATAGTAGATTTATTTTTAGTTATTTAAGAAATCTCCATACAGTTTTCTATAGAGGTTGTACTAATTTGCATTCCCACCAGCAGTGTGTAAGTGTTCCCTTTTCACCACATCCACACCAAGATCTTTTTTTTTTTTTTTTTTTTTTTTTTAGTTTTTAATAATGGCCCTTTTGGCTGAGGTAAGGTGGTATTGCATTGTGGTTTTAATTTGCAATTCCCTGATGACAAATGGTGTTGAGCATTTTTTCATATATTTGTTGGCCTATTTTATGTCTTCTTTTGAGAAATCTATGTATGTCATTTGCCCACTTTTTGGTGGGATTATTTTCTTCTCACTGATTTGTTTGAGTTCCTTGTAGATTCTGGATATTAGTCTTTTGTCAGACGCATAGTTTGCAAACCTTTTCTCCCACTTGCTGGGTTGATGGTTCACTCTGGTGATTATTTGTTTTGCCATGCAAAGAGGCTTTTTAATTTAAATGGGTCCCATTTCTTTATTTTTGTTTTTGTTGCATTTGCTTTTGGGGCCTTAGTCATAAATTCCTTTCTGGCCAATGTCCAGAAGAGTTTTTTCTAGGTTTTCTTCTAGAATTTTTATGCTTTCTGGTCATAGATTTAAGTCTTTGATACACCTGGAGTTGATTTTTGTATGTAGTGAGAGATAGGGGTCTAGTGTAATTCTCGTATATATGGCTATTCAGTTTTCCCAGAACCATTTATTGAATAGGATGTGCTTTCCCCAATTTGTGTTTTTGTATGCTTTATTGAAGATCAGTTGGTTGCAGTATTTGGCTTTATTTCTGTGTTCCTATTCTGTTCCATTGGTCTATGTATCTACTTTTATACCAGTGCCATGCTGTCTTGGTAACTATAGCCTTGTAGTATAATTTGAAGTCAGGTAATGTGATAATGTGATGCCTCTAAATTTGCTTTGTTGTTGTTGTTGTTGTTGTTGTTTTGGCTTGGGATCGTTTTGGCTATTTGAGCTCTTTTTTGATTCCATATGCATTTTATGATTGTTTTTTCTAATTCTGTGAAAAAATGATGTTGGTATTTTGATAGGAAATGCTTTGAATTTGTAGATTGCTTTGAATAGTACATTTGCACAATATTGATTCTTCTAATCCATGAGCATGGGATGTATTTCCCATGCTTTCATTTTTAAAAATTTATTGAGACTTTGATTTTTAAAAATTTATTGAGACTTGTTTTGTGTCCTAGAGTGTATGATTTATCTTGGAGAATGTTCCATATGCTGATGAGATGAAAGTATTTGTTTGTGTCATCTATGATTTCTTTCAGCAGTGTTTTATAGTTCTCTTTGTAGAGATCTTTCACCTCCTTGGTTAAGTATATTCCTAGGTATTTTATTTTATGTTTTGCAGCTATCAGAAAAGGGATTGAGTTATTGATTTGATTCTCAGCTTGGTCATTTTTGGTGTATAGAAGTGCTACCTATTTATGTACATTGATTTTGTAACCTGAGACTTTGCTGAATTCATTTATCAAATCTAGAAGTCTTTTGGACAAGTCTTTAGGGTTTTCTAGATATATGAGAATATCATCAGCCAACAGAGATAGTTTGACTCCCTCTTTTCCAATTTGAACACCTTTAATTTCTTTCTCTTGTCTGATTGCTCTGGCTAGGACTTCCAGTATTCTGTTGAATAGAAGTGAATGTAGGTGTCCTTGTCTTATTTTAGTTCTTAGGGGGAATGCTTTCAACTTTTTCCCATTCAGTATGATGTTGGCTTTATGCTTGTCATACAGAGTTTTTATTACTTTGAGGTATGTTCTTTCTGTGCCTAGTTTGTTGAGGTTTTTTTTTTTATCATGAATGGATGATGGCTTTTATCAAATGCTTTTTCTGAATCTAGTGAGATGGTCATATAGTTTGGTTTTAATTCTGTTTTTGTGATATATTGCATTTATTGACTTGTGTATGTTAAAACATCCCTGCATCCCTGGGATGAAACGTGCTTGATTATGGTATATTATCTTTTTAATGTGATGTTGGATTCGATGTGTTAGTATTGTGTTGAGAATTTTTGTACCGATGTTCATCAGGGAAATTGGTCTATAGCTTTCTTTTTTTTTGTAATGTCCTTTCCTAGTTTTGGTATCAGAGTGACACTGACTTGATAGACTTAGTTAGGGAGGATTCCCTTTTTCTCACTCTTTTGGAGTAGTTTCAGTGGGATTGGTACTAATTCTCCCTTCAATATCTGGTAGAATTCAGCTGTGAATCCATCTGGCCCTGGGTTTTTTGGTTGTTGTTGGCAACTTTTTATTATTATTATTATTATTATTACTGATTCAATCTCACTACTCATTTTTGTCTGTTCAGGATTTCCATATCTTCCTGCTTCAATCAAGAAGAGTTGTGTTTCCAAGAATTTATCCATTCCCTTTAGATTTTCTAGTTTGTATACATAGAAGTGTTCATAGTAGACTTCAATAATATTTGTATTTTTTTTTCCTGTGGTGTTGGTTTTAATGTCTCCATTTTCATTTCTAGTTGAACTTATTTGAATCTTCTCTCTTTTCTTTGTTAATCTATCAAATTTAGTTTATTTTTTCAAAGAACCAACTTTTTGTTTCATTGATCTTTTGTACTTTTTGTTTCAAATTAATTTTGTTCTGCTCTGATCTTTGTTATTTCTTTTCTTCTGCTAGCTTTCAGTTTGGTTTGTTCTTGTTTCTCTAGTTCCTTGAGGCATGACATTAGGTTGTGAATCTGTGATCTTTTGAACCTTTTTTTTTTTTTTTGAGACAGAGTCTTACTCTGTCTCCCAGGCTGGAGTGTAGTGGCACAATCTTGGCTCACTGCAGCCTCTGTTCCCTGGGTTCAAGCGATTCTCCTGCCTCAGCCTCCTGAGTAGCTGGGATTACAGGTGCCTGCCACTGCACCTGGCTAATTTTTGTATTTTTAGAGAGACGGGGTTTCACCATCTTGGACAGGCTGGTCTTGAACTCCTGACCTCGTGATCCACTCGCCTCAGCCTCCCAAAGTGCTGGGATTACAGACGTGAGCCATTGCACCTGGCCCTTTTGAACTTTTTGATGTAGGTACTTAGCACTATAAACTTTCCTCTTAGCACTGCTTTTGCTGTATCCCAGAGGTTTGATAACTTGTGACACATTATCATTTATTTAGAAGAATTTTTCAATTTTCATCTTGATTTCATTGTTAACCCTAAAATCATTCAGGAGCAGATTGTTTAATTTCTATGTATTTGTATAGTTTTGAGGGCTCCTTTTGGTGTTGATTTCTAGTTTTATTCCACTGGGTCTTAGAAGATACTTGATATGACTTTCATTTTTAAAAATTTATTGAGACTTGTTTTGTGTCCTAGAATGTGTGATCTATCTTGGAGAATGTTCCATATGCTGATGAGATGAAAGTATGCTTTGCAGATCTTGGGTAGAATGTTCTGTAAATATTGATTAGGTCTGTTTGCTAGAGTTTAGTTTAACTCTAGTGTTTCTTTGTTGACTTTGTGTCTGGATAATCTGTCTCCTACCAGAATTATTTTTCTGACTCCTCATTTGGGTAGACTATTTCTAGTTATTCCTGATTTTATTTTTTATTTGGCTGTAGTTTTTTCACTATTTTTTCCCTTTGAGGATGTGACCTTATTGTTTATAATTTAATGTGGCCTAATTTGGCTCTTGGTGCTTGCAGGGTTGTAAAGACTCTGTATGAGTTTCTTGGTTATAGAGAGTCTTTGTATGATGTCTTTCTCAGATTCTGGTGACAGTGGCAACGTGGTAGGTGTGTGAGCAGGTTCACTGTCTCCTGTGGGGTTGGAATTGCAGAGGTATCTTGATATGTTTATCTTCTTCTCCAGTGGTGTACATTTATTTATTTGTTATTTTTCCCTCAGGATTTTACTAATGTGGTTGAATGGTTCAGGCTTCAGGCCAGTAGGGGAGATGTCCATTGGTTAAAGCCAGTTGTGGCTAAAGCAGGTGGGTAAATGCAATACCCAATGGTTGGCAGATGTTGCAGCCTTAACAGAGGTGGCTGGGGAGCTTTCATGGGGAAGGGAGGGAGCCACCTCAGCTCCCCTGCCAGGCCAGCTAGATAGTCATCCACCTGTCATTCATACTCCTGACCCAGTGTTCTGGGTATTCAGATCAGAAAGACCCTTTTTTCATCTGCAAGAATGTTGATGCTCCATGTAGGGAGCTTCTTTCAAAGCATCTGTGCTTTCTTTCAGTTTTCCTGTTAAGTTCCTGTGTTGCTTCTTGGAAAAAAAGCTCACAGTGTGAATCTCTACACTCTATTTTGTCTTTGCAAGTGGGAGAGGCATACTAACAATGCCTCCCATCTACCATCTTGGGGGGAAAAAAACAACAATCAAACCATAGTTCTTTTTAAAAAGCAAAATGGATCATGTTTCTCTCTAGCTTTAAATTCTTTGTCAGTTTTTCATTCATCATACATATAAACATTTTTAGTTTGGCCTGAAAGGTGCTCTGTGACCTTTCAGAGCAAGGCAGGTCTTGGTACATTGGCCCATGTGGCTCTCTTTCTGGAAAGCCCCTGTTCCAACCTGTAGATGCACATCAGTCATCTTTTAAAATTCATCTTAGATTTCTCCTCCAGTTTCCTACCCCCACCCCTCACCCAAGGTAAAATGAAGTACTCTATCTTTTATGGGAGGATAGTACAGTACAGAGATTGGAGTATGGGCTCTAGAATCAGATTTAGGCCTAAATTCTGGCTCTACCATGTAGGATATGTGGGATCTTGGATGTATTTATTTAATTCCCTTGTGCCTCAGATTCCTTATTTGTAAAATGGGTTTGAAATTGAACTTACCACATGGAGCTATGAAGTTTAAAGGAAACAACCGTATGAGAAGCATTTAGAACAATTACAGGCATAAAGCACATACTGAAGCTTATTCATTATTCCTTTTACTACTCTGTTCTGTATAAACCTTTATTATAACTCCTCTGACACTTTTTACCCTCATTTGTTTGCATATGTCTCTCCTTGTGGTATTTTAGGCTTTTCGAGGATAGAGATTATATATGATTCACTTCTGTGTCCCCAGAGACTAGCCTTCTGTGTTGCATATAGGAAGATATCAGTATATGTTTGTGGATGAATGAGTTTGTTAACAACAGTGGAAAGTATATGTACTATTTATGTTGTAGGGAAAATTTTGTGCTTCATTGGAAAACTGAATTGGTTAAAACAATCTCTTCTAGGTTATCTGATTCTGATTTTATGGAGGCTCTGGGCTTTCATTGACTTTGAGCTATTTTACAATTCTGTAAACTGTAGATAATTGATAGAAATGAATGATAATTGTTGTTTTGGACATTCAACTAGATTCAGCCCAGTAGAGATTCAATTGCCTTTTTTACTTATTATGGAAGTAGCAAGACTTTTGCCTCCATTTCAATAAACTTGACCTACAAATTGTTTTTCTTTGAATTCTCCTTTGAATTGCTTGTAACCTCTTACCAATGCCCTCACTAATAATGAGTTAAATAAAATCTCTAATACAAACTCACTTGACATCTGTATGAAATCCATGATATTATCCTTATTTTGAAAATTACCCTTTAACATTGCTCGACACTTATCTCATGACGATCTTATACATTTCAAAATATTTTACATGACAAACTGTAAAGGACACACTCTAGACGTGATCTGAAACCATCCTTTCTGTGGGACATCAAGATTATCATTCAAAATTAATAAAACACATTAGTCATGTAAGGCCAAGTTTGGGGCTTTTTGTCTAATGGGAGGCTGGTTTCTAGGTATTTTGTGCTAAAATTTGCACAACTTTTATAACAACTTATCTCCTCCCATGAGGCAGACAACAAAGACAAAAATCTTTTTAAGTATGTAGAGAATCATATGGGGCCCTTATGGAGCTCTGCGCATATGGAATCAGAAATGTAGGGATAGTCTTAAGGATTATAGAAAGGAAGATTTGGCAGAATAATAAAGTAAAGAAAATTATATCTTGAACAGCTTTTCAATCTTTATCAAATTATAACTATTACAAAGGTCGTTTAACCATGAAAAGTCCACCTTAATTGGATCCATTACCTTCTGGAAAATGATAAAGTATAAATTATAAAAAGCTACTAAAGGAAAGCAGGTAAATTTAGAACTGACCACACAAAAAAACCTCTAATTTGGACTAACTGAAGAAAATAATCAGTCTAAGTTAGTGGCATTATTTATGTATGGCAAACTTTGTCAAGAAATGCAAATTTGCAAAGGTCAAGTGTTACAGAATAAGGTCTTACTTGCCATGCTTTAATGATAAAATAAAACTCAAGTCATTTGTAATCAACACATTAATTGTATGCAAGTGTACATGGTTAAAGCTGCTCAAAAACAACAGGTTTTCTTCATTAAATTAAACATTTTGCCTGCTTACATTTCAATTACATTTTCACTTGCTTCAGAGAACAAATGTAAAATTCCTAATTATCAGCATATACATTAGTGAGGATACTGAGTTTCTTATGAGATTTTCTCTATGTTGTATATAATGTTCTACATATTTCCCTCTTTTTTAAAGATGTAACTGCTGATGCTTATTATTTAAGTGTCTATTGGTGTTTAAAAGATTGATCAGTGATCTGTAGGCTTTTAAAGATTGGTTAAAAAGTATATAAGGTCAATAGCCATAGCAATAACAAGAACCATCACTTGCTGAGCATTTACAATGCATCAGAACTGTGCCAAACCCTTTATATGTAAACTCTCATAAGAACACCCATTTTGCTGATGAGGTAAAATACTTTTACTTTCCCTGATTAATTGTTCCCTCCTCCTCCCAGTCCCTCCATGCTCTTTGCATGACTGGCTTCTTATTTTTCTTATCAAGTAAAGCTACCTCCCAATAGGAGGCTTTCTAGACCATGCAATCTAGGTAGCTTTTTACAAACAACTTTCCTGACACCTTGTGCTTTTCCTTCATGGCACTTAATTCATAAATATAAATTGATTTGCTTGCTTATTTGCTTTCCATCTATGCCCTGCTAGACTGCAAAATCTACCAGGACTGAGATTGCTTTTGCTCTGTTGACTATTGTCTTATTAGGGATTTAAAAGATATTTGTTGAAGAGACAAAATAACAAATTTCTCTGAGCTGGTAAAAAGCAAATACTTTAAAACCCAGAATTTTGTGAAAATAAAGTCCATGCTTTTGCCAAAAGCCTTTGGTTTGCATCTCTGAGTAGCTAGTTTTAACCCTTGTTTTGCCCCTTTACAGTCTCTGTGATGGAGCCATCTTGTCTTCCTTGCAAGCCGAGCTGCCTTGCTTGTTAGTTTCTGGAGAAAGTTATAAACCCTTCATTCTTGAAAACATTGTGTTATTCTGATCCCAGTGGACACTGTTATCACCCTGCTGTCTGTTAGCTTAATTGAAACCTGCCCTCTTCTTGGGAGGGCTGGGTTGTGCAAGGTGACTTCATGACAAGCAATGCTTATATGAAAGCACTCAAAGGATGTCAAACAGTTAGGAAAGTTGAGGAAGGATTTTAGTGGAGATAAAAGAGATAAAATGAGGGATGTTGACAAGCCAGAATGCAGTTTTTTATTTTGCTTTTCTACTTTCACATTCAGTTAAAATGTTGCAGCAGGTTTAATAAAAGGAAGCACTGGGTTGTGTCCTAAAATACCAGGAAGGTCTAAAAAAATCTCTGATTATTGTAGTGATGAAAAAAAGTTGGAGAGTTGAGAAACAGTTGTTTTATTGATAGAAGATGATTGTTTATTAAAATTATACCATCTTCTCTCTCTAGAAATTCCTTAGGAAAATACAAAAATCACAATATTTATGTATTCTTTCATTCACTCAATATTTGCTAGACATAGTTCTTAGTGTAAGAAAAACAAAATTGAGATATAGGCCCTAGTTTTTTGCACACTAATAGAGAGAAAATGCAAATAGACAACTTTATAAAGTATACTTAAATTGAGTTATGGGAAAAAAAAGTGCTAGAAGAGTTCTGGAGAAGGAAGGGATTCATTTAAAAATGTCTTATGTGAGAGGTACCATTTGGTTTAATGCCTGAACAAATAGGTCTCATTGTATCAATGAAGTTGTTAATATGGGCATAGCATTTGAGACAGAGAGGCTGGAAGGAATGAAATATAGAACTAGTTAAACAAGAAAAAGAGCACAAAGGTTTGTATTGGTTGGTATGAATGATACATGTTGGGAAGTTTTAGGATTAAGATTATAAAGGTTAGTTGGGAAACCGATATTTAATCTTCTTGATGCTCTGCTAAGGAGTTTATATTTTGTCTAGCTAATAGAGAACAATTACAGGTATTTTTGCTAAGTATAAGGAGGTTTTTTAAAATATAATACTATTTTGGCAGTTTACCATGACCTGGAGAGATGAAAGATTACTTTGGAAGAAAATTCTCCATGGGTCTCTCACATTTCTACATATCTTCTGAGCAGAGGAATTGACAGATTTTGTTCCAGACTATCTTTTCAAGAATGTTTATATAGCAAACAGTCTTGGAAGTCTCCCTTATAGGAGAGGAAAAAGCACCCCTTTAAAAGATTGGAGTTTTCTAAGCTCAGAGTCCCTCTGTGTGATACAAATTTATTGCATACTCACCATCCACCTGGGCTTCTCGGCATCTCCCCAGTGGGACTTGGGAAACAAAGAGAACCTGCACAAACATGAAGCTTGTAAAGCTTGCTGTGCCATGAGTTGTAAAGTCATTTCTGTCTTACCCAGGAGTCTCATGTCTTTTGATGGCAACCATCAAACTATGGGGAGTTAACTTGTTAGTCTGCGAGTAGGATAAACCTCAGAGCCTTCACAGTTTTCAACAGAGTGAAATCTTAAAGTTCAAGGAATCAGTGATTATAGAAATTCAGTAAGGCACAGTAAAGTATTAATGGTGTATATGATGCTAAACTTGTTCCAGAAGTAACAACATGTGTCTGTAAACTGGGAAAATGGGAAAATAAACTGGTCAAGAAAAACAGTTTTTGGGTGTCGATTTCACATGAGATGATGTTTGTCTCATTAAAAATAAATTAGATTAAGATAATGAAAAGACAAGCCACAGAAGGATAAAATATTTGTAAAAACACCTATCTGGTAAAGGACTGGCCTCCAAAATATACAAAGAACTCTTGAAACTCAGAAAGAATAAAACAAACAATCCAATTAAAAACTGGACAAAAGATCTGAAAACACCTCACAAAAGAAGATATACAGATGACAAGTAAACATATGAAAAGGTGTTCAACATCATATATTATTAGGGAATTGTGAGTTAAAACAACAATGAAATACTACTAGAATGGTTAAAATAAAAAATACTGACAATACCAAATGCCAATAAGGATGTGGATCATTAAGAACACCTACTTATTGCTGGTAGGAATGTAAAAGGATGCAACCACTTTGGAAGATCGTTTGACAGTTTCTTACAAAACTAAACATAGTCTTAACATACAATCCAGCAATTGTGTTATTTGCTATTTACCTAAATGTGTTAAAAACTATGACTGTATAAAAACCTTCACATGACTGTTTATAGCAACTTTATTCATACTGGCCAAAACTTGGAAATAACAAAGATAGCCTTCAATATGTGACTGGATAAACAAATTACAGTGCATCCATACAATGAGATATTATTCAACATTAAAAATAAACTCCTGAGCTAAAAACACATGGATGAAACTTAAAGGCACATTACTAAGTGAAAGAAGCCAATATGAAAAATTATACACTATGAGATTCCAATTGTATGACATTTTGTAAGAGGCAATACTATGGGCCGGACACGGTGGCTCATGCCTGTAATTCCAGCATTTTGGGAGGCCGAGGCGGGCGGATCACGAGTTCAGGAGTTGAGACCAGCCTGGCCAACCTGGTGAAACCACATCTCTATTAAAAATACAAAAATTAGCTGGGCGTGGTGGCGGGTGCCTGTAATCCCAGCTACTCCAGAGGCTGAGGCAGAGAATTGTTTGAACCCGGGAGGCAGAGGTTGCCGTAAGCCAAGATTACTCCATTGCACTCCAGCCTGGGCAACAGGGCGAGACTCCGTCTCAAAAAAAAAAAAAAAAAAAAAAGGCAATACTGTGGAGACAGATAAAAAGATCAGTGGGTGGAGGTTGGGAGTGGAAGGAAGAGAGAGAGAGGGATGAATCAATGGAGCACAGGGGATTTTTAGGGCAATGAAACTGTATGATACTCTAAGGAGGGCAAGTGTCTTAAACAGCTGTCAGTATCCATAGAATGTACAACACAAAGAATGAACTTTAATGTAAACTTTATTTAGCACTAATATATCAATATTAGCTCATTAATAAGAACACATGTACCGCAGTAATTCAAGATGCTAATAACTGGGGAAACTGTGGTGGGAGGTGGGGGAGAG
Source organism: Homo sapiens (assembly GCF_000001405.40). Classification (NCBI taxonomy): domain Eukaryota; kingdom Metazoa; phylum Chordata; class Mammalia; order Primates; family Hominidae; genus Homo; species Homo sapiens. Next base: position 71,171,395 of record NC_000012.12, on the reverse strand, counting down.
AATATATGGGAACTCTCTTTCTGCCCAATTTTCCTGAAAACCTGCAACTGCTCTAAAAACTGAAGTCATTAATTAAAAAAATAGGACAGATAGGAGGTGATGCTCAGTTATTTGGAGAAACAAATCAATCTAATTTGATAGCCTTGGGTCTGAGGTCCTGCAAGATATGAAGATACTAGTATGGCACATAAATTAAACAGAGGAAAAAGTGACTCAGTAGGAAGGCCAACAAAACATTGGGCAAAACAGCGTCAAAATTGAGAACAGTTACCTACCCTGGTGGGAATTGAGGGACCACCCACATTCAAAGTACTGCCTGTGTCTGGCTGTTAAACCTCAGGAAAGACAGAAAAATGCTGGGGCTCAAACCCGAAGGATCCTTAAGAAGAACTAACTCTCTCCCTTTGCTGTTCACATTGGCTTCTAGCTTCAGCAGAACCGACTTTTTTTCCAGATCTTTTTCCTTCTGGATAACAGTCTAACATGCACCAAATTGGCCTTTTTACTCAGAAATATTTGAAATAAAAAATCAAAGCATGAAACAAAGCCCCTGTCCTAGAATGGATCCTCAGAGAAGAGTGTTCTTGAATATATATCTGCCTGCTTGTATCACATCATAATAATTATGCCCAATTTCCCCATACTGAAAGTTCTCTGAAATGTTAGATTTGGCCCCTGGTCACTGGCTTTCCCTTTATTTATTTAGGCTTTGCCTCCACCCAGCCAACATAGAGCTCCTATCTTACTGTTTTCCATTCGATATGACCCACAGCAGACCTAAAACACCACTCCAGCCTGATTGCTAAGACCTGTTCAGTAACCTGTCTCTTCAGCTTTGGATCAAACCACTGCACTCTTAAAAAATTTAATTTTCTTCATAATTAATATATTTGCATACTTCAAAATTAAAAGGAAATAAAAACATATACTGTGAGAAGTCTTGTTTCCACCTATTCCCCATCTATTCTTTCACTTTAAATTTTCTTGTTTATTTATGTATTTTTGAATCCATCCCCCTCAAGCATTTACTCTTTGAGTTATAAACAATCCAATTACATTCTTCAAGTTACTTTAAAATGTACAATTAAGTTATTATCGACTATAGTCTCCCTGTTGTGCTATCAAATAATAGGTCTATTTATTCTTTCTGTTTTTTTTTCCCATTGACCATCCCCACCTCTCCCTGCAACCCCTCAATCACCTTCCCAGCCACTGATAACCATTATAACTATGTGTATCTTTTTCTAAGTTGCCGAAGATTCTTTCTGGAGCATCGCATAATATAGCTATTAAAATTCTCACCATAGGTTTCCCTTGATTTCCCATACAATACTTTTAATATTTGATTGGATTTATTAATTCAATTGATATATAATGTTCCTTACTACTATTATGTAAGGTACAATTCCGAGTTACTGTAGGTTTTGAAAGCGTTTCATCTGAGAGCCTATAGGAAGTTATTATCCAAGAAGCTTTACATTTCTATTTTTCTATTGCATATTACAATTAACTTAGTTGTGATCTGCATTCATGATTTCCTACAGGCTTTGATATAATTAATAAAGAGTTTAATTCTACATGAACAACCTTGTAATCTTAATTGTCCATAGGGTAAGAAACTCATCAATTCATTTTATACGGGAACAAATTTTCACATCCCTCTGAAATTCCCAGTGGACAGTGGAACTATATAAACTCATATTATCCTAGTTTCCATATATTGAGTGCTTCCCTTTACAACAAAACTTGAAATAATTGTCTAAAATAAATAATTTCACTTTCATTCCTCTCATTCTTTCTTCAGTCTTTTCCATTTGGGCTCTGTCTCCACTATGTGACTAAGGATGGTCTTCTCTCAAAGACAGCAGTAATCCCATGCTGCCAAAACCAGTGGGATTGGGAGTTTTCATCTTACTAGACTTCTCAGCAGCACTTGGCAGCTGCCTCACTCTCTCTGAGACATTCTTTTTCTGACTTCCTGGACATTACCCTGATGGTTTTCCTCTTAACTGCTTTTCAGTGATATGTATTTATTCCCACTTTCTTCAAATTTAAATATTGGTATGCTCCAGGGATAGGGTCAGGGTTCTGATGTGATCTATCTATGCCTTCTCCTTAGGTAATTTTATCTAGTACTTAGCTTCTAAATAACTTCTATATGGTAATGTGAAAGTGAACTAAATGTGGCCTGAGGACTCTGTACTTCTATATTTGAATCCTTATGACTAACTGCAGCCTAGCTTCATAGGTAGACAAGACTGAAAACCTAACTTAGGAGTATGTGCCTATAACAATAACTGAGTCTTGGCCAATCCCGGCGGCTGTACCTCAACCATTCATACACTGCTGAGTGTTCAGACTATATTCAAATAAGGCAAATGCAACCTGTAACCAATCCAGCCATTCTGTACCTCACTTCCAATTTCTATACATCATTTCCCTTTTTTTGTCTATAAATCTTCTTCCACCATGAGGCTGCACAAACAACCCCATCAAAAAGTGGACAAAGGATATGAACAGACACTTCTCAAAAGAAGACATTTATGCAGCCAACAAACATGAAAAAAGTTCATCATCACTGGTCATTAGAGAAATGCAAATCAAAACCACAATGAGATACCATCTCACGCCTGTTAGAATGGTGATCATTAAAAAGTCAAGAAACAACAGATGCTGGAGAGGATGTGGAGAAATAGGAATGCTTTTACACTGTTGGTGGGAGTGCAATAGTTCAACCACTGTGGAAGGCAGTGTGGTGATTCCTCAAGGAGCTAGAACCAGAAATACGATTTGACCCAGCAATCCCATTACTGGGTATATACTCAAAGGATTAAAAATAATTCTACTATAAAGACACATGCACATGCATATGTCTTTATTGCAGTGCTTTATTGCAGCACACAGTGCTTTATTGCAGCACTGTTCACAATAGCAAAGACTTGGAACCAACCCAAATGTACATCAATGATAGACTGGATAAAGAAAATGTGGCCCTTATACACCATGGAATACTATGCAGCCATAAAAAAGGATGAGTTCGTGTCCTTCACAGGGATATGGATGAAGCTGGAAACCATCATTTTTAGCAAACTAACACAGGAACAGAAAACCAAACACTGCATGTTCTCACTCATAAGTGGGAGTTGAATAATGAGAACGCATGGACACATGGAGGGGAACACCGGAGCCTGCTGGGGGGTGGACTGTGGGAAGGATAGCATTAGGAGAAATACCTAATGTAAATGATGGGTTGATGGGTGCAGCAAGCCACCATGGTACATGTATACCTATGTAACAAACCTGCACATTCTGCACGTGTATCCCAGAACTTAAAGTATATATATATTTAAAAATATATGTATATAAAGAGTCTCTGTGAATCTGCTATGATTCTGAGGGCTGCCCGATTCGTGAATTTTTCATTGCTCAATTAAACTCCTTTAAGTTTAATTTGGCTGAAGTTTTTCTTTTATCAGTGAGGACACCCAAATCTGTATCTCCGGCCCTGAAATTTTCCCTGTATTCTATATTCATATATTGAACTGTCCATGTGATATCTTCACTTGCATATCTAATAGGTATCTTGAATCCAAAATATTCAAAACAGAACCTATGCTCCTCCCCCAGTTTTCTATCAACCAAGTTGTTGAAGTTAAAATTTGGGTGGTATCCATGTTCCTCTCTTTCCCTCACTCTCTGTTGATTTCACCTCTAAAGCATATCCTGAATCCATTCACTTCTCTTCCTCTACACTACATTCACCCTAGACCACTCACAATCATCTTCTGCCTAGAACACTGGGTTGTGTCACTTCATTGCTTAAAATCTGCCTGCACCTCCAATACCACTTAAATCAACTTTATTATCTTTTCCTTGGCTTACACCTCTCTACAGGATCTGGCCTGAAGAACTTCCTCTCTGAAACTCATCTCATACCATGCTCTCCATAACTATGCTACGTACATGCTCTCCTTCTTTCTCCAGCATACTCAGTATCTGCTCACCTTAGAGGCTTTGTGCTATTGCCTTTGTCTGTCTGGAATGCTCTCATCATAGATCTCAGCACGGCTTATGCCTTCTTATCAGACAGGACTTAGCTTAAATGTTACCTTATCAGAGTTACACCTAATGTGAAGTAGTTTCCTCACTTTCTAGCACAGGATACTGCCATTCTTCTCTTTCTGTTTTTTTTTTTTTTGCATATTTACTTATGTATTTATTTGTTTGCCATCTCAAGTTGGTTGAATATAATGCTTGTAGGAGCCGTGTGAACTTTGTTTTTCTTTTGCAACGTTATCTCCCAGCACATAGTGATGATTATAATTTGCCAGTCATTCTTCTAGGCAGCAGGAATGCAATGGTGAACACAAACAGGGGCTCTCTTGTTATTTAAAAATGAATTAGTATATTTAGATAACTTGTTATTCAGTTATTCATTCAAGAAATATTTATTAAGAGCTTACTATATTCCAAGCCTTGGGGATATGGCAGTGAACAACACAAAAAGTGCCCTTGACCTTCTGAAGTAGACATTCCAGAAAGAAAGAAGAAAAGGAAACAACACATAAAGAGATATGAAATACAATGAAGAGGATGAACTGTTTAGCTCTTCAAACTAAGAGTGAGAGGTGACAGCATGCTGGCAGCCCTCGCAGCCCTCGCTTGCTCTGGACGCCTCCTCAGCTTCGGGCGCCCATTCTGGCCGCGCTTGAGGAGCCCTTCAGCCCGCCGCTGCACTGTGGGAGCCCCTTCCTGGGATGGCCGAGGCCAAAGCCGGCTCCCTCAGCCTGCGGGGAGGTGTGGCGGGAGAGGCGCGGGCGAGAACCGGGGCTGCGCAGTGCTTGCGGGCCAGCAAGAGTTCCGGATGGGTGTGGGCTTGGTGGGCCCCACACTCGGAGTGGCCGGGCCGGCCCCGCCGGCCCCTGGCAGTGAGGGGCTTTGCACCCGGGCCAGCAGCTGCAGAGGGTGCGCCGGGTCCCCCAGCAGTGCGGGCAAACCGGCGCTGCGCTCAATTTCTCACCGGGCCTTAGATGCCTTCCGTGGGGCAGGGCTCGGGACCTGCAGCCCGCCATGCCTGAGCCTCCCCGCGTCCCCCCGCCGTGGGCTCCTGCGCTGGCTGCCAGAGACTCCCCGACGAGTGCCGCCCCCTTCTCCAAGGCGCCTGGTCCCATCTACCGCCCAAGGGCTGAGGAGTGCAGGCGCACGGCACGGGACTGGCAGGCAGCTCCACCTGCGGCTCCGGTGTGGGATCCACTGGGTGAAGCCAGCTGGGCTCCTGAGTCTAGTGGGGACTTGGAGAACCTTTATGGCTAGCTAAGGGAGTGTAAATACACCGATCAGCACTCTGTATCTAGCTCAAGGTTTGTAAACACACCAATCAGCACCCTGTGTCTAGCTCAGGGTTTATGGATACACCAATCAGCGCTCTGTGTCTAGCTGATCTGGGGGACTTGGAGAACCTTTATGTTTAGCTAAGGGATTGTAAATACATCAATCAGCACCCTGTGTCTAGTTCAAGGTTTATAAATGCACCAATCTGCGCTCTGTGTCTAGCTGATCTGGTGGGGACTTGGAGAACCTTTATGTCTAGTTAAGGGATTGTGAATGCACCAATCAGCACTCTGTGTCTAGCTCAGGGTTTGTAAATGCACCAATCAGTGCTCTGTGTCTAGCGAATCTAGTGGGGACTTGGAGAACTTTTGTGTGTAGCTCAAGGTTTGTAAATGCACCAATCAGCACCCTGTCAAAGCGGACCAATCAGCTCTCTGTAAAGTGGACCCATCAGCAGGATGTGGGTGGAGCCAGATAAGGGAACAAAAGCAGGCCGCCCCAGGAAGCTTTGTTATTTAGCTGTTTGCGATAAATCTTGATACTGTTCACTCTTTGGGTCCACACTGCCTTTATGAGCTGTAAGACTCACCATGAAGGTCTTCAGCTTCACTCCTGAAGCCATCGAGACCACGAACCCACCAGGAGGAATGAACAACTCCAGAGGCGCCGCCTTAAGAGCTGTAAAACTCATGGCGAAGGTCTGCAGCTTCACACCTGAGCCAGCAAGACCACGAACCCACCAGAGGGAAGAAACTCAGAACACATCCGAACATCAGAAGGAACAAACTCTGGACATGCCGCCTTTAAGAACTGTAACACTCACCGCGAGGGTCGGCGGCTTCATTCTTGAAGTCAGTGAGACCAAGAACCCACCAATTCTAGACACAAGAGGATTTGGTGGGGAAGACAGAGGAAATGGGAAGCCCCTAAGTTAGGAATACGCTTGGCAAGTCCAAGGAGCAGCAAGGTGTCCACTGTGGCTGCAGCAGCATGAGTAAGGGAGAGAACAGGGGAAAATGAGGTTGATGAGTCAGCCAAGGGCTCATCTTGTGTGGCTTTGGATTTTATTCTAATTGTGATGGGAATCCATTAGAGGGTTCAAAGGTAGGGAGTGACGTAATCTTTTACTGCACAGAGAATTGCTTTATGAACTATTTCCTTCTCAGAGAGCTCCTTAGGAGATTGGTTGAGAATACAGTGATTCTTGAGAAACTTGAAATTTCTGGCTGATACTTCTTATACATCAGGCTCTGTGCTGGTAGCAAGAAATTCTGGAACGTGTTCCCAGATTTGCACATTCCTTCTTGAGGGGTCTTGGCTAGGGCAGTCTTTCTGGCTTAACACTACTTATTCACGCTCATGTATTCAAGAAAGCATGAAGAGTGAGGAGGAAAGACAGCGGAGCACTTACAGGAATTCCCTGGCTCTCTGAAGCCTCAAGTAGAAATATGATATAAATAAATTAGCATGCAGAAAGAGTTTGGGCCTTTTCCATAATTAAGAAAAACGCTCCAAACCAGTAAGGACTCCTTTGGAATAGTTTCTGAGGGTTGAATGATTCGTGTACATAAAAGATCAATGTGACTCCGTGTAAAGCAAAACAATCTCTGGGCTTTGTTTGACCTAAAGGCACTTGAATAACCCTCAAGGCTAGCCTAATTAAAAAAATAAAAAAAAAATCTGACTTTCTCACATGTTTGGGCTTTGTGGGTGAGGCAATTTCTGAATCAACCAGGATATTAATAAGTAAATAATTACTAGGAGGGACTCTTTAATGCCTGATCATAAATGGAGAAACGAACCAAAAGAGAATTCTCAGAGGAATGGTGTATTCCATCCTTGAATTCCGGAAAGACTGCATTTGGATATTGTATGTTTAAAGACATGCACTTTTATTTGATATGATTAAAATTGGGATGGTCCATTCATCTGGGACAACAGTGGAGGAAAATGGAGTCAGGCCATTGCTCTCTCTTTTAGGGAACCATGGTTCAGGCATTCAGCCACAGGTTTCCTGGGATATCCATATCTTCCATTTTCTTCTCACATTAAGGGCAAATCAGGTCTTCCAAGTACTCAAGAAAAACCTAAAATATCCCTCTTTGTGGCTACAGAGAAATTCCTTCAAACCAGAGATTGAGTTATTTTCTACCTGAGCTTATTTGGGATATTTTGTTGCTTCTTACAAAGGTGTGAAATGGAGGTTTGGGATTTCCTCATAAATGACCTCTTAACAATGATTTCCTGTTATTTTATTTTTCCTTGGGAACTAGGATAGCCATGCAATACATACCCACTGTGTGAGACTGAATAAATGTTTGTAATTCGGAATTAGTCACTTGTGAGATCCTAATTAGCATTTTGAGTAAAGTGTCTATTTCTGACCAGTCATGGGACAAGGCTGTGTTAAATTCAGTGTAATATTTTGTTGGCTCCTGCAGTTTGAGAAGCTGGTGTCTCATACAAGTGTTTAATATCGCCACCCTAGTCTATTTTTTTTTCTTCTGTATTGGTGGGTTCCACTCACCTTCCTACCTCTTAACCACTGTTAGGTAGTGTTAAGCCAGATTAGAACCTAATCATGTTTAATAGTTAATGTGTACCTTGTGAACTTGGCAAACAAAGAACTGATTCAGAGAGAACTCAGAGAAAAGCAGGCCAGCATTTAAACTTTAAACCCAAAAAGCAAACAACCAGGCAAATAATAAAGCACAAAAATAGGCTGTTCAATGATCCTGACGTGGTTGATTACAAAGCCCTGCTTTGTATTCTCCGTTTTCTTGTTGAGTATTGCAGCCTGTGCATTGGCACGAGTCCTGGTTTAGAGAGAAGAAAAATAAGATCGACTTCTGACAAATCAACTAGTAAAATCTATAGGCATGAACCAAGTGATCAATTTTGTGTGAGTGAAGAATTTTAGAAGTATCTAAAATGCAATTAAAATGTGACCTTGGAAGCAGGACTGAATTGTATTTACAGTCTGGCAAATGGAAACCTAGTCAGTTATCATGGACTCTTATCTGGAGATAGATGTGGCCACAGAGGGGGCAGGGACTGAATGGAGTACAGAGAAGGCAACCTCAAGAAGAACGAATTTGGTGGTGTATCACAGCAATTGTAGGGAGAGGATGCTAAGACCACTGAACTCCTCTGGAAGGTTTGACTGTTGGATCCCTGGGGTGGTTCTAGACTTGTCAGCGTATCATATCTTGGCAACACTGACCCCTTTGCCAAATGTATGCCCCAAGACACCATCTGTGTATGGCTCTGGCTTCTGTGCTGTTTTTTTTTTTTTTTCAGGGAGAGAGTTTTCTGATCAGCTACTGTCTTATGCTGGATGGATAGTCTGATGGGTGCATTTCTCATGATAAAGTAGGAAATTGACATTCTGGCTCCTGTGAGAGCTTTTAAGGTGAATCTTTCCCAAGAAGCAGATCACCCCTGGAAAAGCTGGCAAAGTGGAGCTTCAGGGCTGCCAAGCCAAGGACCTGACCCTGGTTCCCACCCAGCAGCTGGTCTCTTAACCTGCTGTAAAAGGAGTATAAATGCCATAGTGAGGCTTAATAAGAATCCACAGCATCTCTAATCTGCCATGGTTATAAACTGCATTTTTAATCACTGCACCATTTTGCCTCAATTTTCCTTATACACACATATTTTGGTGAGCTAAAGTCTGTTTCTTTCATACACATTTCCATATTTTTCCTTATGTGTCCTATATGGTAAATTTATGTCCAGGTGCAAGTCATTAATATTTTAGAATAAAGTATCTATAGAAGAGGAAGAATGTTGAATACTGGGTATCCATTTTCTGTAAACACTGTATTGCTACTTCACAATGACAATTCTAACCCCTACTTTAGTTCTGAGCTGGAATTAATACTCTCAAGTAGAGACAGTTGCTTTAAAATGTCCTGCAAAGAGAGGAGAGGCATCTTTCCCATACCGGATGCTTCCTATCTGGTGCATTTCCAGTGGGAATACATGAAAGGTTTTTATGAGCCAGGCTCCATAAGCACAGAGGGTAGGAAACAGAGCATTGGGATCACATGAAAGCAGAAGAAGAATATTGGTCTCAGGAAGGCTAGAATGGGACTAGAACACAAGAGCCAAGGCTCTGCTCCTGTAAAAGAGACCATAAAACCCCTAAGTGAGAACTCCAACTTTCCAAAAATAAAAAAGGTTTTTCAAAATGAGACATGCTAAAAGCACCAGAATCTCTTCACTCAAATTGTTCAGAGTGTATGATCTCATGTCCTTACATACACACCCCTCAGTACAGTCATAAGGAAGAGAAATCTCAACATTATGTTTTTATTGCTGCTGTTAGCCTTTGAGAACATGAATTGATTATTAACAACGTCATGAAAAACAAATAGTATAGAGGGACAGTGATAATGGGAGAGTATAAAAGACAAGAGAAAAAAATAATCTTTTCTCTACCACACATGAATTGCTTTTTTACTGTCTATTCCATGGACAAATATATCGGGTAACGAGATGTTGGAAACAAAAAGGCAAAGAAGTTACCTTTTCACCATGGTGTAAGGCCTAGGAAGGCAGGGATTTTTATCTTGTTTCATAAATTACTATGTTTCCAGCACTTAGTCTCATTCCTGGAATATGGTAAGGATTCAATACATCAGTTGAATAAATTTTTGAATATTATCTTATGGAGGAGAAGATGATATCATGATGAAAATATGAACTATCTATGCTTAATTTCTGGTCCAAGTCCCAAACGTAGGCCTGGTTTGCCTGATGACTTAGAGAAAATGCCATATTTTCTGTGGGGTATTTGATGGTACTACTCATGCACTTTCCTCTGCCCTGAGCATAAGGAATCTCTCTCTCTCTTTCTTTCCCCTGCATGGGTTCCCATACTGCTATCAAAATCTAGTTCACTGATGACTGCCTCATGGAGACTTTTCACAATTAATCAAATTGGAATCATTATCCTGCCTTACTCTGTGCATTTGCTGCAATGAATAGTAATTGGCATGATGGCAACATTAGAAAAACTTTATCTAAATTTACTTAGACTTTCCCTCTGTTCTTTCCCTCGATTGTCATTTCTTCTTATAATATTTCACTCTCCATTTCTTTCCTTACTGGCCCGGTCTTTCACAGGGTCTAAGATTTATTACTGACAATCTCCAACCCCTGCAACCTCCCACCACTGTTAAAATATCTGTTATATGAAAATTTCTCAATATCTAAGACACGTTAAATGAGTAATGAGTAAATGACTCATTCTCATACTACAGAACTCAAGAGATTGTTGACGCCAGTAGACAGAATACTGATCTGATAATCCTGTGACCTTGTTTCTAGAAGGAGATCTAACCAGTTTTGTGAACTTGGGCTACTCAATCTGCCTATGCTGCTCTTTTCTCAGGTGTAAGAGTGAGAGTTTGTCTAGAACAGTGCTTCTGTAAGTGCGTATGTGTGTTCTGTAACACCAGTCCTGAATATGTCATTCAAAAATATGTTCTGAGATTATATTCATTTCAGAATTGCTATATATCACCTCCTTGAATATTAGAAAGTTGAAGGCTCTGACAAGTCCTGAAATTAATAAACTGTTTTTCTTGACCTAATAGATTTTTTAAAGGCAGAGGTAGCATATTGGTAGTTCCCTAGAGAACCTAATGAGGAAATCACTAGTTGAACTTTCTGAGGAGCTTGGCTGCCATTGCAAATCTCTGTAGCTCTAATGCCAGCTACTGTAGGTACAGAGGTGAATAGGGTAAGATTTCTGCTTTTCAGGCATATAGAATCAAATGTGGGGGAGAGACACAAATAAATGTGATATAGTGGCAATTGTAGATTTAAGGTCTGTTCAAATAATAATGGACTTGAGGACTGAGAAGCAAGTAAATCTGCCCAGAGTGGGGGCAGAGGATGAGGAAGGGAAGGCTCCACAGGGATGTTGCAATAGAGAAGGTGGGAAAGGATATTCCAGGCAGAAGGAACAAGGCATAAAATCCAAAGGTGTGTTCTAGGCCTGGGAAATAATTCTGTGGTTATGGAGCCTAGAAGTGGAGGCTGCCTAGGAAGAAAGGGGAGGGACAAAATTCTGGAAAGTGGGTGGAGGACTTGTTTGCTGTGTGCTGTAAATGCTACTTTAAGGAATCTGAACTTTATCTTGTAGGTAAAAGGAAAATATCCTTAGATTGGGTTTTCATCATTATCATTACCTAATCAATAAGTATTTCTCAAAAAGAATTTTAAAGTGCTAAGGCAGAGAGGAACTGGGAGAAACTGCCAGGGAAATTAATTCTCATTCTATTGACACAGCTCAAGTAAGAAATGATAAAGGACTGAATAATGAAATGCAAAAGGATGAGATGGAAGAAATAGTTTTGACAGTAATTTAGGAGCTACACAGACCAGTAAGAGTGATTGGATGGAAAGAAAGAGAAATACAAAATATCTGTACAAATTCAGCCTGGGAGAGTGTTGTGTGATTATAACATTAATAGGAATAGGAATTTCCAGGAGTGAACTGTTTCATATAGGTTTTGAATTAGACTAGGGGTTCTATTACACAGTCATTCTCCTGTACAAACACATCCATTGATTTTTGTGTTACAGAGTTCAAGAGTGATTCAACTAAAGACTACACAGTATTCTTTTTAAGGATGTTCAGCATCCACCAAAATATCTATTTCAAACTAAAATTTGGTAGTATTCAATACATTCTTTTCAACAAAGCAGCATTTAAATCTGTAATTTTTTTTTAATTTTAGCCTCTGATAAATAATCATTTCTGGGACTATGAATCAATTTTGGTTTTCATTCAATCTGAAATTATTCTTTCAGCCTTGGATTATTCTATATACAAAATATCTCAATAGAAGGTTGTGAAACTATCCATTTTCTAGTAGGAAAGAGAACACAAACAATTTTAGTGATGATTTATATATTAAGCCATTATTTTTGGAATTAATCCTAAATTTGGCCTTTAACGCTATATATTATTGTTGATAATGCATTAAAATATATTGTATTTGTAGTCAGGGAGTAGAATTGTTTCAAAAACATTGTATGCCAGTGAAAATTAGAAATAATATTTTTCTTTTGTAAGGAGTTCATGCTTGCTTATCGTGTAAAACTTAGCAAAGATTCTAAAGAATAATTTTCTCAACAACCTTTTAAAGTAGAGGGTTCTTTTATTTAGGGGGAGAAGAACTCCCTTTGAGAGGCAGGATGTGGAAACTAACATGACCCAGGCTGTTTACACAAAGCAGTCCACACCTCCCTGATGATGTCGGAGCATTTTGCCTTTACCTGAGACAGCTGCCTTCTATTAGCACTAGAAACAAATAGTAAAATCTATGGTCACTGATCCATGACCACCTTCCCATTTTGAATTTTTTTGTCCGGGAGGACCTGGAATCCAGAAACTGAGTTGGTGGAGAACAGCTGTTGCTAGATACAATTTATCAGAGGAAGGAAATTACAGTGTCCACCTTAAAAACAAACCAAGCTATCAGAATGACTACGCATTATAAAATGAAAACAATGTTGCAGTCAGTGCCACTTTATGATTTCTTTCCCTTTGTATCATAAAGAAATAAAGATAAAAAGCAAATGGTCTTATCATGATAGGCAAGGCTGCCTCTCCCTCTGCAATTTCTGTGGTGTATTTACGGCAGCTCTGGAATTCTTTTGAAATAAATTTAGATGTTTTGGAGGGCAGATACATGTAATGGTTATTTTACTATTCTAGGTTTAATGATAACAGGTTGCTATGTCTAAGCTTTGATATTTTGCAGATTTCTAAATGCATTTTATTGCATTTAGAAGGAATTTTGTAGTATTGAGAAAATGCAATGCAAAAATGAGTAGAGATACAATGTCCATTTAACTCAGAACAAAACAACCTTATTTCCCCATAGTTGAAATGGAGGGCGGGGAAGTCAGGCAGTGGTTTCTGAAAGCCAAGAACTTAGTAGCACTGTGCCATTCTCTTGCCTGATCCAGTGCCATTCCCTTCACTTGATATCTGTTTACTTTAGAGGAGGCAGTTTTTGAGAAAGGATCATAAATATCCTGGCCCAGTGCCCCAGGAGCTATGACAAGCAAAGGAACATACTTGCCTGGAGATAGCCTTTGCGATATTTAAATGTGTGAGTTAATAGCCTTTGAGATATTTAAATGTGTGGGTTAATAGCCTTTGCGATATTTAAATGTGTGGGTTAATTTTTTTATCCAGTTTAATAACTTTTTATTCCTCCCTCTACTTCTTTGCTTTCTCTTTCTGCTCTGAAGCCGTGGATACAGAAATCTCTGCAGGCAAGTTGCTCCAGAGCATATTGCAGGACAAGCCTGTAACGAATAGTTAAATTCACGGCATCTGGATTCCTAATCCTTTTCCGAAATGGCAGGTGTGAGTGCCTGTATAAAATATTCTATGTTTACCTTCAACTTCTTGTTCTGGGTAAGTGTTTTCCTTTTAATTATCAATTTTATGCAAGAAAGGGGATCTTGATATAAATATCATAAACAAGAACAGACTGTACACTAGAGAAATAAGAGAAGGGGGAAAATGTATTTTCCATGTACTTGTTTGGATTTGTTTGTTCTTTCTTTGGTTATTTCAGTAATTGAAAATGAGCCAAGGACTCAAAAAAGTGCACTTCAGAATGTGAGGATAAACATTTCATAAATGTTTTCATATTGCTGCAAAAAAAAATCACAGAGGAACACAAATGCCCCTTAATTAAAGGACAATTTTCCTTAGTTGTATATCAAGCAGGCCTCCCTAATTTAAGGACTCTGTGGTAAAAACATGGTCTGATTCCATCCGGAGCCCGGGTCCTGATTCCCGCCCTTCACTTCTGGGTTTGAACAGGTGAATCGCAGGGTGTGGGACAATAAAGATCATTTTCAGAGCCTCAAAGACAAAAAAAATGGGTCATGAAAAACTTGAGGGGGAAATGATAAAATTCCTAAATCATAAGAAAATCAAACTAAGACCGTGGATATATATATGTATTGGCATTTTAAAGTCAGTATTTTGATGTGTCATCACCCTACCTTTTAATTGACAGGATTTGTATTTTAGCAATTTGTTATGTTTCTCTTGAAAGTCCATTGACATAGACATAACCAACAAATTGATAACTGATATCTATCAATAGATAATGGAAAAACAAGGTATGAAAAGAGCAGGCTGGGATGTTGGGACATTGACCTTATCATTTTTAGCATATATGGTACAATTAAAGATTGTTTAAATGTCAATCAGTGGAAATAGCACAAAGTATTTAAATGAAAAAAGTATTTTGTATACTGGATTAAAAGCTACCTTATCCACTCCAAGGATGAAAGAACTCTGGTTTTGTTTTTGTACCTGATCTTTAGTAAACAGACATCTCATACCTATGTGTTGCTATATTTCTGTTCTATTAAAATAATGATGAACTTAATTAAACTTAACTACATGAATACAGCTTTATTGTATAGACTGATTTTCCATTCAATGATCAGTAGTGCTAATGAGTACAAATGGATATATTGGTGACTTTTAAATAAGTAAGTAAATATTTAAAAAAGTAAAATAAAGAAGGCAAAAAAAATGGGCTGCTGTTTTTAGGTTAAAAAAATGGGCTGCTTTTGCAAATATTTAATGTAGCTCATGCTACATATATGCCAGTTTTTTAGTTAGTTCTGATACATTTCTTCCCTTGAGATACTTAAATTGATTAAACATTGGGAGCAGGTTATACAAAAAAAGAAAGACCTGTATTCTTTGGTTTTGTTTTGTTTCTAGTTTTTTTTTTGTTTGTTTTTTTTTTTTTTTTTTGGAGAACTTTGAATATTCACTAAAGAAGATAGGATAGGTAATCAACTCCATTGGCCAGCCCAGGTGGCCACAGAAAGATGGCCAATCTTTCTCCATTTTTACTGTATTCACTTCCCCCACCCCATATTATTTTGAAGCACATCTCAGATATATAATTTTGTCTGTAAGCATTTTAGTATATATCTCTGAAACATAATAATTCTTGAAAAAATGTAACCACAACCAGGCGCAGTGGCTCACGCCTGTAATCCCAGCACTTTGGGAGACCGAGATGGGTGGATCACAAGGTCAGGAGTTTGAGACCAGCCTGGCCAGCATGGTGAAACCCTGCCTCTACTAAAAATATGAAAAATTAGCCGGGCATGGTGGCACGCCCCTGTAGTCCCAGCTACTTGGGAGGCTGAGGCAGGAGAATTGCTTGAACCTGGCAGGGGGAGGTTGCAGTGAGCCGAGCTCGCACCACTGCACTCCAGCCTGGGCGACAGAGTGAGATTCCATCTCAGAAAAAAAAAAATGTTACCACAATATCATTATTACACTTTAAAAATTTAATAAGAATTTTTTAAATCAATTGTCAAATTGATTTGACAATTTTAATCAAACTGTCAAATTTGAGCCCATTCAGGGCTGAAATTTCCGATTACCTCATAAATGTTCCTGTTAGAATCAGGATCTAAATAAGGTCCACACTGTGTGGTTGGTTAATATATGTTTCATGTCTATTTTAATCTGTTGATTCTCCCTCAGTCAACATCTCTTTTTCTCCCTACTGAAATTTTATGCACTGGTGTGTGTTGTTTGTTTTATCACATTGCCCACAGTCTGGATTTTGCTGTTTGCATACCTGTGGTGCAGCCTGATACAATTCAAGGTCCTTTTTTTTTCACACGACAATCATAAGTGATTTTGTATTCTTTCATGAGGAGGCACTGGAGGTTTGATTGTGTCCCTCTTTTGTGACGTTCGTAGCCATTGATGGTCAAGTGCCAAAATCCATCATTAGTTCATTAAGTGGTTCAAAGTGATGATATTCTAGTTTCATCAACTTTTCTTTCTTTATTAGCTGGAACACTTTCTATAAGGAGAAACTTCTCATTTACTGTTTAATTACCTGGGTATCCCATTTTTAATATTTTTTAAGTGGCATAAAATACTTCTTTCTCACTCTTTACTTACCAGATTGCAAGTGATGAGTTAAGTTACTAATATTATCCAACAGTGATAAGTTAGTATTTCTTTAAGTATCCTTATGAAACAATAGATCAGCTCCATTACAATGTTTACCCTTATTAATGTGCAATTTGTTCCATCTCTGGCCATCAGGAGCTTCTTCAAGGTGACTCAAGTTCTTTTGAAATGATCCTAATAACTTTGATAGCCTCTTTAGTATTTGGTTTGACATGTTCCAGATCACTTGCTTATTTCCTGTCCAGACCTCGAATCAGCCATTTCTCCACCAAGTTCTGATATCTGTCTTTAAAGAGCTATAGTCATTGTTTTCCTTATGTAATACAGAATATATATGGCACATTTAAACAAACCAAAATATTAATATGCTAATAAATGCAAGGCTCCTATTTTATTAAAGATGTTCCAAAGCACTGAAACCAGTAGCAATCTTCAAATAATGAAACAGTTAAAATATATCTTTGTTGTATTAAAACATCCTGGAAAGTGCTAATAGCTATTATGAAGACATCAGAGGTCAGTGTTTCATTAAACAGCTAATCAGAAATTTGGAATAGATCTAAATTATCAAAATAATAGTCTAGGAAGGGGTAGGTTATAGATTCAGGATTATTTACCTACCTACCTTGATAGGGTTCAGGGTAGATTGTAGAGGTCTGTACCATGCCACACCCAGATATTATCATTGCTTTCCTGGCGAGCTCTGATTATTATTATTATTATTATTATTATTATTATTATTATTATTATTTTGAGACAGAGTCTCGCTCTGTTGCCCAGGCTGGAATACAGCGGCATGATCTCGGGTCACTGCAGCCTCTGCTTCCCAGGTTCTAGCGATTCTCCTGCCTCAGCCTCCCGAGTAGCTGGGATTACAGGCACGCACCACCATGCCCAGCTAACTTTTTGTATTTTTAGTGGAGACAGGGTTTTGCCATGTTGGCCAGGCTGGTCTCAAACTCCTGACCTCAGGTGATCCATCTACTTCTGCCTCCTAAAGTGCTGGGATTACAGGGATGAGGCACCGCGCCTGGCCAGAGCTCTGATTATTTTATGGTTACATTATCTGTTTGTTTCTTTGATAACAGAGACAAGTCTTTCTGATGCTGTAGTTTTCAGTTAGATCTTTCTAACTAACGTGCCTTGGTGATTCCTACCACCAGCATATGTGGTCGGATTTACAATCTCTACATAAGAGATTTTGAAATGGAGTCTTTCAGTGAGAGCAACAATTATAAAAACCAGTGATAACTTCTTAGCCAAGAGGTGACATCAATATTTTAAATTCAAATATAGGCAGCAGGAGGAATCTCTGAGGTTAGGAAAGGTTCCTATATCTACTCTCCCGTCTATGCTCAGCTCTGAGCTCTCAGTTGGAATTTTACAATCCTTCATAGGAAATTAGCAATTTGTCACATTCCTAATGTTTACTTAAGTAAAAATTTTAATGACCCCACTGATGTGGTTTTCTTATAGATGCCCAGGGCCTTATGTTTTCAAATGCATTCTTTCTGGTATAACTTGCAAAACTGAGCCTTTGCAAAGTAGAGCCGATGTTAAAATATCTCTTAGATATGCATGTGGTCATTTAATCTAAACAGACCAGGTTCTTTTGGGGGACAACTTGAGATATGCCCCATAAGTATATGGTGATTTCCATTTGTTAGAATCACTAATTGAAGAAAAACATGTAAAAGTGAAAGTTATTCCTGATCACTCATGCTAGAGTTTGATGCAAGTTAGAGAACTGGAGGTGCTGCAGATAATAGATAAATTATAGGTACGAAACCTATTTCCCTAGTCTTGTTTCAAAAATAGATGAAATGCCCCAATTTTTTAATGCTCCTCTCAGATAGTTCAAGCCTAGGAATATCGTAGATGCTTATGGTGCTTTAGGGGTCTGAGTAAGTATGAAACATGGGGCCTTTGGCTCGTGGATGCAGTAGAATAATGACCAGAGACAGAGAGCTATAGAGAGGCCAGTTCTTAATGAGGGAAAGAAGAATGAGGTACACTATCAATCCCAAATGAGTCATAGGGAGGAGCCAAATTGTAAAGCTGAATGTATTAGTAACTGAAGGAAGCCAGTGCATGACGAGGTTTGAAGAGCGCAGAAAGAAGTCTGAACTTGGAGAGAGTCCAGGATCCAGCATTTCGATATTCATCATTGTATTTTATTGAGATTGGATGTGCTGAGAGCAATTAAAAGATTGGAGGCAAAGCAGACATAACCCTGAGATGGTGGTACACTAAAAGGAATAGGACACAATTATATCTTATTGTGTCCGTTGATGGAATCTTTCAAAATGAAGACCTAACAATGGCTGAAGTGTATGAATTTTGTAAATACAGTGGTTGCCTGACCCTATGTAATTAGCATGGAGCTAAAACAGCACCAAAAGGCATTAGAGTCCACTGGTTGATAGAGCAGGATAAACATCAGCTCCTTCATCAGTAGCTGTGCTTCTTTGGGGAAATTGGTTAACCTCTCTGTGCTTTATTTGTCCTCATCTGTAAAAATGGGGATAGTAGTAGTATCTACCTCATGGGTTTGTGGTGATGATTAAATAAGTTAATATATATAAAGAAGTAGGAATTAACTAGATAAATGTTTAAGAAAAAGACATTTCAACCAGTATTTTATAGGTGTTTTTATGAAGCAGAAATATGTAACTATTTGGCATAGTGATGAATAAATTTAAATGTTGAGTTTTAAAACGAAGAGGAAATAAGATAGCAAGAATATGATAAGGCAGAAATTCTTCTATCATGAATTAAGGGAATGGGGAAAAAGTGGATTTTGTAAACAGACTGACTGAGATTTCAATCCTGAATCTACCCCTTCTTGTTCTGGAACATGTCCCTTGGCTTTTGCATGCTCCAGTCTTTGGATTTGTAAAATAAAAATGATCACTTTACCTGGCAGGATTAATTTGAAACATTAACTAAGCTATTTTATGAAAACCTGTAACCAAGGACTGACCATCAATAATAGCACAATTAACATGTTTTTCCTGATTCCAAACATCGTAATTGCTTTTTCATTTACAACTATTAGAATATACTGTGACAGTATTTTATACATAATGGGCTTTCAAATGGTAAATATAATTTTAGCCCTACTCTGATCCTCTTCTCATCTCACAGGGTGAGGCATATGCAGGAGTAGAGGGATATGTCAGCCCCAAGGCTGGCTTCCACTTTGAATATAGGACCCAAATTTCCCTGCTCAAATGCCCTGAGAATTCTAAATCAAACCTTTTCCTCCAGGTGATTAAGTGGGCACATTTGTCAAGGTAGGAATATAGGATACATGTTGTCTGTGCATATTACCTTGAGTTATAACTTCCTGATATAATGCCCTGTGGCTTGTGGGCTGTCATTTGTATTTTTCCCAGGCTTTTCAAATGGATGCACAGGTCTACAACTGTTACTTATATGAACGTTATACTTTTGAAACAATATGGTAAGAATATTACTGAATTTGTGTCATTTTTTGATTCAGAAACATCAGGATACAGATTAAATGCCAAACATTCATCTCTCTCTACATGTTTTGAATGTAGGCTTTTAGTGGTTACTGAGGCCCTATTTGTGTAAGGAAAACAATGTGGTTGATTTATTTTCCCTAAATTTAGAGTTATTTAAAAATTAGAATTTGCAGCAGTTATATTGAGTGCTTGTTAGAAGATGCACATGAGACCAGGCGCGGTGGCTCATGCCTGTAATCCCAGCACTTTGGGAGGCCAAGGTGGGTGGATCACAAGGTCAGGAGATCGAGACCATCCCGGCTAACACGGTGAAACCCCATCTCTACTAAAAATACAAAAAATTAGCTGGGCGTGGTGGCTGACACCTGTAGTCCTAGCTACTCAGGAGGCTGAGGCAGGAGAATGGCATGAACCCGGGAGGCGGAGCTTGTAGTGAGCCAAGATCGCGCCACTGCACTCCAGCCTGGGTGATAGAGTGAGACTCCATCTCAAAAAAAAAAAAAAATAAGATGCACGTGAATGCAATCATGGAGACACATTGAGTGTACACTTAACACTTGTATCAGTCTGTTTTCACACTGCTGATAAAGACATACCTGAGACTGGTAATTTATAAATAAAAAGAGGTTTAATAGACTCACAGTTCTATGTGGCTGGGGAGGCCTCACAATCATGGTGGAAGATGAAAGTCCCATCTTACATGGTGGCAGGCAAGAGAGAGTGGGAGCCAAGTGAAAGGGGTTTCTCCTTATAAAACCATCAGATCTCATGAGAATTATTCACTACCACAAGAACAGTATGGGGGAACCACCCGCATGATTCAGTTATCTCCCACTGGGTCCCATGGGAGATACAATTCAAGATGAAATTTGGGTGAGGACACAGCTAAACCATGTCAACACTCAATACAATAAACACCATTAATATAGTATTGGGGGAACGTGCCCCCAGTATTTCAACGTAGGTTCTATTTTCCATAAGTGTCAGCTGGCTGAGAAATAAAGAGAAACAGTACAAAGAGAAGAATTTTACAGCTGGGCTGCCGGGGGTGACATTACATATCAGTAGGACCGTGATGCCCACCTGAGCCATAAAGCCAGCAAGTTTTATTAAGGATTTCAAAAGGGGAAGGGGTACAAGAACAGGGAGTAGGTCACAAGATCACATACTTCAAAGGGCAAAAAGGAGAACAAAGATCACATGCTTCTGAGGAAACAGGACAAGGACGAAATCAGAAACTCCTGATAAGGGTCCAAAAAAGATCACAAGGCAAAGGGCAAAAGCAAAGATCATAAGGCAAAGGGCAAAAGCAGAATTACTGATAAGGGTCTGTGTTCAGCGGTGCATGTGTTGTCTTGATAAACATCTTAAACAACAGAAAACAGGGTTTGAAAGCAGAGAACCGGTCTGACCCCAAATTTACCAGGGTGGAGTTTCCCAATCCTAGTAAGCCTGAGGGTACTGCAGGAGACCAGGGCGTATTTCAGTCCTTATCTCAACCACATAAGACAGACACTCCCGGAGAAGCTGTTTATAGACCTCCCTGCAGGAATGCAATTCTTTCCCCATAGTATTAATATCAATATTCCTTTCTAGGAAAAGAATTTAGCAATATCTTCCCTACTTGCATGTCCGTTTATAGGCTCTCTGCAAGAAGAAAAATATGGCTCTTTTTGCTCGACCCCACAGGCAGTCAGACCTTATGGTTGTCTTCCCTTGTTCCCTAAAATCACTGTTATTTTGTTCTTTTGCAAGGTGCACTGATTTCATATTGTTCAAACGCACATGTTTTACAATCAATTTATACAGTTAACACAATTATCACAGGGTCCTGAGGTGACGTACATCCTCAGCTTACGAAGATAACAGGATTAAGAGATTAAAGTAAGACAGGTGTAAGAAATTATAAGAGTATTATTTAGGAAGTGATAAATGTCCATGAAATCTTCACAATTTATGTTCCGCTGCCGCGGCTCCAGCCAGTCCCTCTGTTTGGGGTCCCTGACTTCCTGCAACAATATGGGGCTGAAGATTTTTTAAAAACCATGATTGCAGAGTCTGCTAAAAGTTGAAGATTTTAATTTACTCTGCTGGTTTACAGCATCAGAAAATCCAATATCGCATGAGGCTTAGTAGATCAGAACTACATCAGGCCATGCTTGTAAAGGGAATGCACATTCTACTCTTTTTTTTTTTTTTTTTGAGACAAGAGTTTTGCTCTTGTTGCCCAGGCTGGAGTGCAATGGCGTGATCTTAGCTCACTGCAACCTCCACCTGCCGGGTTCAAGCAATTCTCCTGCCTCAGCCTCCTGAGTAGCTGGGATTACAGGCACGTGCCACCACACTCGGCTAATTTTTTTGGTATTTTTAGTAGAGACAAGGTTTCACCATGTTGGCCAAACTGGTCTTGAACTCCTGACCTTAGGTGATCCACCTGCCTCAGCACATTCTACTCTGAATGAACTCTAAATCAGAATTGGTCTCATCTTTTTCAAGGAAATTTAGCATAAGACCTAATAAAAAATACTGTTGAACAAGTGAAAGATATTGCCACCCTGAAGACTTAGAGGACAAGCACACATCCCTGAAATAAATATTCTAGAATCCTGAAAAAATGTATGTAGAAATTGGTATCCACAATGTGATGCTAGAAAGTAACCTCTCATGAAACAGTGAATGGAGGCCATAAGAGAAAATAAAATTTATTGGAAAACAACGGGATGAGATAAAAAGGGAAATGGATAAAATATGTAAGGACTGCAAGTAAACTACAAACATAATAGCAGAATTAAACTTCACTGTAGAGATCACATTAAATAAAGACAGTGACATAGAATCCCAAACTGATAAGCTTTCCCACAGGAAAATCAAATAAGAAATCAGAATATTGTGAAAGAAGATAATAGATACAGACAACAGAGAATGGAAACCCAAAATAAGCTGTACTCCTGAAAAAGAGGACAAAATAAATGGAACACAAATAATAATCAAATTAATATATGGAAATTTTGTGGAGCTGAAAACATACCTGTATGCAGATGGCAAGTGCCTGATCTACCCCAGTGAAAGAAGACATCTATGCCTAAATAAATGTTAAGAAAACTACTAACTTAGTTAAAAGATAAATAAACATCTTACAAATGTCTAGATACAACTGACAAAAAAGAAAACAAGCAAATAATGCATGAACGAAAATAAGGCTGGTGATATTCTTCTCCTATTGTAACCCTGAAAGTCAGAAGACAATGAAACAATGTCTGCTGAGTATTCAGAGCCTTTCACAAATGAATAAGAGAGAAAGAGATCTTCAGGTATTCACACTGTAAAATTTACTGAAACATATCCAAAATGATTAAGGTATAAGTAAAAATGGATAATTGAAGCATGGGAAAATCATGGTTAAATGGCTAACCATTTTAGGTCTGGAAATAAAGAAGTCACATGTCTAAATAGTTATATTTTTTATTATCTCAAATGTAGATTGGAAGGATATTTGGAAAGAGATGTAATAGAAAATAGCAATTTAGTAACATTTACTCTGCGCTAAAGCCCAAGACTGATTACACTAAATAGCATTTATTGGATTATATGGAGGGAACACTGTTAGAGATACAGAATAGTAAATGCAAACTCCATTAATTCAGCTTAACACAACTTAACCTGCCTCTCAGTTTTTGATAACTCAGGAAGGAAAAGAAAAAACATGGATACAGGGGATCTAAATGATTTAATGAATAAAGTATATTTACTAAATTTCTAATAAACTTTGTACCCTCTTGAGACTTTGTTGTCTTTTCTAGTATCTCTGAATCTTTAGAAATTGATGAAGGAAATGCAAAAAAACTCACAAGTAACAATCCTACAGTCTGCATTCTCTTACCACAATACAATTGAACTAAGACTTTTAAATAAATGTTTAGTAAAAGAAACTTGAAAATGAACAATAACAGTAGCAGCAGCAGTACAGTCCTAGTATGTTAGGGCTTTCGGAATCCTTGTTCCCTATAATCATGGAGTCGCCTCTAGTGTTCTGTGTTTATCATAAAAACAAATCTTGTAGTTATCCACTTGCATATTTTCTTATTCTTTTTTATCCTCTCAGGAGCAGCACAAGAAGAGTTTCTTAAGCTTACCTAAAAGGTGTCCATTTTGGGACCAATAATGATGTAGTTCAAAATCCACTCCTCCTCCTAACACAGCATTTTCAGCATTCTCCAAACATACTTCAATAAACACCAAATAAAAGGGTACAATTTGGAGGGAAGAAGTAGGGATGATTGGAGACACATTATCAAAGAAAAGGACAAATCAACATTCTACCATTTATCTTTCTTCTGGATGGTATCTTCCCCCGCCCCCTTTTTTTTCCTGATATTTTATGGTCTTCAGCATCTGCCTGTTCTTAGTCATCTGCTTGGGCTCTCATAACAAGATACTGTAGACTGGGTGGCTTAAACAACAGAAATTAATTTTCTTATAGTTCTGGAGGCTAGGAAGGCTAAGATTAAGGTGCCAGCCAACTGAGTTTCCGGTGAGGACCCTCTTTCTGTGGCCATCTTCTCATGTTCTCACATGTCCTTTCCCTGGGTATGAGTAGAGAAAGAAAGATTTATCTCCTATAAGGTCACCAGTTCTATCAGATTATAACCCCATCTTCATGACCTCATTTAATCTTAATTATCTTCTAAAAGCCTATCATCAAAAACAGATACATTGGAGGTTAGGGCTTCAACATATGAATTTTGTGGAGACACAATTCAGTCCATTATAAGCAAATATCAAAATTGCCTAATTTCTTAGGATGCTGGTCCAGACCAATTGCATCCAAATTCCATAAAATGATGGCTGTTCCATGAAAGCTGAATGAAAACCAGAACAATTCTCAAAGAGAGACCAGAAGCAGGGGAAAGGTAGGCCTAGTCAGTTCCACAGGGTCCTGGAACCACCATACTAACCCATTTTACTTTTACAATGTTATTAACGAAAGTAGAGAGCAGGCATTTATTTATTAATTTATACTTTTAATTGTTTAAAATAGTATAAAAACATTAGGGGAAAAGCTCTAAAAGCTAAACTTGGTAAAGGGCTCCAAGTACCATTATGATGGTCAATCTTTTAACAATGGGATGAAATAGTTTAGTATTATTCATGACTCTAGGATGGTCATTCTTGATAGAAAATAAATTGACTTTCAAAGTCATTCAACAAAGTTACGAATAATTTCATGATATTAGACTGATATTTACATGGGAATTTCTCCACTCAAATGAGAATGATATACTCTAAACATTTGTTTCATTTTTAAAATGAAGTTTGAAGAAAAGATAAGAGTTAGGGGTGGAAATGATACTTTGGCCAACTTCAAAGTTCCTGAGAAAGATTGTCTAATTCTGAAGATTAGTTGGGCAAAATATTTTTGACTTCTGAAACAACTGGTTACTCTTTCTTTTAAATGTTAATGTTACAGAAAATTTTCAGTGGCTGAGAAGACTAAAAGTTGCTATCTGAGGGGCAGATATGATTGATTTAATAAGATTTATGAATGATCTGATATCTAAATACCTTGAAAAAGTGAATAGTGATACACGAACAAAAAAAGTTTTAAAAAATATCACACTGAGTTCTTACTAAGCTCTTACTAAGAATTCTTAAAGTTTTTTCGTTGATAGTTTAACAAATATCAGGAAAGAATGCTACTCATAATAGCTACAAGGTTCATTAGTTACAGATGAAGGCCAGAATGACTATTAAGCCAATCATTATGAATCTGCTTGTGAAAAGAGAAGAAAACGAAAGAAGATAATCAGTGAACAAACTAAACAACAAACAAAAAATTCAGTTGGTATGAAATTACTGAAAATCCCAGAGGGTCTCATTATCATTTGACATAAATTATCACTCACAAACTGTTTAACAAAGGACTGCTAAAATGAGCATTTGTCTTTGTTTGCAAATGAAATTAGAATTTTGTGAAAGGATGCTATAAATCTCAGGGTTAGAGAAGTAAGGAAAGTTTTCAAACACGAAAGCTGTGTTTTTTAATCATTTGTATTTTATGGTGTGTGTGTGTCTATGTGTGTGTATGAGATAATTGCATAGGTTATTTGGTGGTTAAAGAGCTTTGGTTTTTAATTGCATTAGTTATTTTGTAGGAGCTGAAGTATGTTGTAAGGGCAGATTGGTTAGGAATTGCTCCGGGTTTTCATGATGTAATAATTAGCGCCCAGGATTCCAATTTCTCCATTCAAAATGAGAGGTTTAGACCTAGATGATTTTCAAGGTCTTTTAGGGAGCACAGAGTCTATGGTTACTCAACTACTCATTGTGCTTCCTATTCCTTAACAGAGCCCTTGACTCTATTTCCCCTGCAAACTCAATGAGAAGCCATTAAAAGTGCTGTCTTGGGGTTCTAGGCGTATGTCTCAACCATGCACGAAAGCAATGATGCTCCAAGGACATTTGTCTGTCAGAGCACAGCAAGGTCAGAATTGTCTACTAAGTCCCCCAAGGCCTGCTGTGTCTGGTATGTTACCAGACACAGCTCTTAACATCTCTATCTAATAATAGATCTTTGATTTTTGTTTTTGAAGCCACAATGCATAACTTTTTTTTTTAAACCCTGAATGACAAGAGTTTTCCTTACACTAAAGTAAAATGTGTTTTACATTTTATTGTGTTGGCATTGGTCCAAATTAAATAATCTGGTAAAATCATTAAAGGAATTTAAGACTTCAAGTTCTGTCTTTCATTGTTCCTTCTCTGTGAGTAAACTTTACCACCTAAAAGAGCTTGTTTTTAAGAGAGTTTATTTGGGTTCAAAAAGTGTTGATTATTATATAGCCTTGTTGCTTAACTGCACATCTTGTCGTATGTTTTACTTTTTCCCCCTCTATCCCAACATCTCCCTTCCTGTCGAATCTTAAATGAATGGTGACTATTCCGTCATTCCCTTTTTTCCTGGTCCAACATAGCTTCTCACAAACAAGCCCAGAGGCATGATAAGGATATTTTATCTTTAAACTGTTGTGACTTTTCTTTTGTATGCTAAAATCTAGCAGAAACACAGGGCTAGAGTTACATGGAAAAATAATCTTTCCAGGCCTAATGGAAATAACTTCTTGTCCATAGAGCTGTGAGTGAGTTGTGGATGAGAAATAGAATTATTCTCATCAAACTTACACATTGCAATTTAACATTTCAACAATGATCTGTATATGAATATGCCTCATTTATGTCTTCCAGGTTGTGATAGTATAGTCGATGATGAACTACTGTCACCGGATAGATAGGAGGGTGTGGAAATAGAGTTTCATATGATCCTAATTGTATTCTTTTTGTTTGTTTGTTTTTTTCTGCAGCTATGTGGTATCTTGATCCTAGCATTAGCAATATGGGTACGAGTAAGCAATGACTCTCAAGCAGTAAGTATGCAAAAACAAGTCACCCTTTCCCCAATGTAGTTTATTTCATTTATAATAATGAAAGTTATAACAATAATAGTAATAAACATGTCTAAAACATTTTTCTTAACTGCTTCATGTAATCACTTGTGCTGTTATGTGATTTTATAATTCAGTTCAATCAATTAAAATTACTATGTGGCTGGCACTGTGCTAGATGTGGAAAAATCTTTCTAGAGAATGGAGGAGGTGTTATTCAAAAATTCAAAAAAATTCAGTGAGATGCAGGTGGGAAGGGGCCAAAGTGGAAATTTTCCTCCTTTACTATTTGTTTAAGGCCTATATTGAGGATATAGGCCACCTCTCCTTCTCACCAAGAAGAATAATTTTTATAGTAGAAGGTTTTGACAATAATTTAGTTGATCCCAATGTGGTTGGTCCAAAAGGAAAGAAAATGAGAAGTTTTCTTGGAGAAGAATAATTTGAATCTGTATTTTAAAGGCAACAAGGTACAAGGGTACTTGTTATTTACCTGTGGCAACTGGCAGTGAAGGTAACCACTTGCCAGTAGTGGCTAATCTAACTTGGTGAAACTCAGTAATTCTCTGGGGATGTCCAGATTATTGCTATATGTATAAGATGAACATGACCCATTTTCCTCCCCCACACACCATTCCGTGCCCAGTGCCAAAGCTCTTACCCAGATCTACAGGTCTGGAGGAAGTGTATTTCGTATGGTTAATTCTGGCTCCAGCTATTGGACCCCATACGTGTGGTATCTGTTCCATGCCACAGTATCACAAATGTGGAAAGGGTTGGGGGAAGAGGGAGGGGCGAGTGTGCGGGGATTGTTCTGTCAGTTTTACGGAACATAATACCACCCTGGCACCATTTCCTGGCTCCCGTGCTTTTATTCTTTTCTCTCCCTTCTTCTATTCTGGGGCTCCATCCCCACAAATTATTATTCTAACACATTCAGAGCCATTAATTTGTTCTTTGTTTTCTGGGCTCTTGCCACTAAAGGATCACCTCTTCTACTGCTAGAGCCTTTTTAAGGTATTTGCCCACATAAAGAGAGTTTCTCCTCTCTGAGAAGAATTTTGATTCCAAGTTGATAATTACTGAGAGATTTATTAAGCCAGCAATTAAGACAATGCATTTTCTACTAAAACGTATTTCACCATGGTGCAGCTAAATGCCTTTGAACACAGCCTAGTGGAAAGGAAGATGAAAAGGGAATTAATGTCTGCTCTGTTTTCTTCGCTGCAGTGGGTGGCTTTTCTGAAAATTTCTTTCTCACTCTATCTCTGTTTTTTTTTTTTTTGTTTTTTTCCTCTCTCTCTCTCCTGTTGTTCTTTTCCTTTTAAAATTGCTTTCTGCCCTTAGGGAGCCCAGAGGATCACAGTGGCAATTAGCGGCTTCCACATTCTGTGCCTCACCATGGTGAAGAAATTGGGTGGGAGATGGGTGTGGCAGCTTTTTAGTAACATCCTAGTCCATCAGGATTTCACTTATTGTTTTCTACTGATAACCATAACTGTGACTTCCTGATGGCCTGGAGCTCTGGTGTGTGAGCCCAAGAAGTGCATTTGAAGATGTGCAGAATTACCATCCTGTAGAATCTGAAGTCTGACTTTGGGACTCATAATTAAGCACAGAGATTAACAGTCACCTACTTACAGGGTGCTGTGGCCTCTTCAAGATGTGTGTGTAGCCTGCAATTTATTTTATTTTAATTTTACTTCCTGTTGGTATTTTCTTTCCCTCCCAGTGCTTCTGGTAAACAAATTTGGTGTTTAGTCTGTTAAAAAATTGCACATATTGAATGTATTAAAGGGGAACTGTTGTCCTTGAGAGGGTGCTCCTCCACATCTGGGGATAAGAATGAATTAATAGAGCTAGACAGCATCTTTAGTTACGTTTTGACTCACGCTTCATCAGCCTCTCACACTGAACAAAAGCCAGTGTCTGCCAGGACAACATTAACCAGCTTGACTTATATAAAATTGGCTTGGTTTATATTTTTCTCAAGCCAGTGACAAAGAATCAAGACAGAGCAAAGAGCTGAATTTTTTGTTAGTGAAAAAACAGAGGTAGCTGTTTTGGAAGGAAAAACATGAGCATAAACACAGAAAAGAAGGATGTCAGGGAAATGACAGAACTTTCTGCTGAAGTGTCTCATGAAGACCCTTTTTTCTACCTCAGGATAAACTTAGCACCATGAGGAAAAGCACATGAGCAGCCATCCTTGTCCCAGGAGGTCCCTTCTGATCCAAAGAGGATTCCTGAGTCCTCATCTTTCAGGACCAGCTGAATTTCTCTGTCTTTAGAAATTCTCCCCTTGTCCTAAGACACACAGGGACACAGTGTTCATTCAAGACAGCTTTTCAAACCCTGCTGTTCCTCCCCTGGTGCAAACATCTGAACTCAGATTTCCACTTCATTCTTGAATAAGAATAACCACTTGTTGGGCTGGACTTGGAACAATGACCACTAGACAGTCAACACACTGCTTTCTGGCTAGTCTCTGGCAGTGGGTCACCCTGCCCAGGTTAGCCTCATAGAAGTGTCTCACTACCTGCTGCACAAGTGCTGGTCACACTATCTTGGCCTCATGTGTAGATATTTGAACTATTATTTGTATGTCTGGCATATCTTTTCTAAGTTCTGATAACCCAGCTAGCGAGGCTTCCATCCTCTCATAGGGTTTGCCTGTACTGGCCACAATATTCTAGTGAAGCAATATTTAGCAGGAAGTCCATAGAGCTAGTTTCCTAACACTTCTATTTTTGTCACATTTATTTTGATTCCAATGTCCTGCCTGTTTATTAACAAAACTGATTTTTTAGCTCTAATATTAATGAGAAAACAATAAAAACCAACAAACAAAAATCTTTAGGACTTAACCAAGCTTTCAAAATACGTAAATTGAAACATTATCTGTAAGCATAGACTTTTAGAGACAAAGGAGGCCTTGGCTATCACAGAGGTTGACCCAATTCCCTTTTATAAATGGGGAAACTGGAGCCCACTAGGTTGGGTGACTGTTCCAGGATTACAAACTTATTTATTAGGACCCTGACAAAATATAGATGTTTGTTTTAATGCTTTTATAACTTCAGCACATTCCTTCCTATTGACTGTTGAATAAAAGTTTCCTCTAGGCAATAAGTAGATTTAAAAAGCCTTGAGAAACAAAAATATCATTAGAACATAGCAGTCATTTTTGTATTGACTGTTAAGGGAGCTGACCTACATGCTATATAGCCCATTCTGGGAGGCAGAGGTTTCGAGTTAGTCTAGGAACTAGTGCTCTATCTAGAGACAGCCCAGTAGATAGAGGTTATAGAAGGCAAATGGGCTACATATAGGATTTATGCATAAGACACGCACAAGGCTTTACTTTTTAATTGTGATTTACTTCTGGATAAATCCACTTATCGAGGACAAGAGGTGGCTGAGGCTAAGTGTTATGAGGGTGATGAAGACGAGTATGTGTGTGTTGTTGGGAGAACTGAATTATGCCTGATGGGTAGCCCACCCACTATAAAGGGCTCTAGGATTTTTTTTCCCTTCATATCTCATTAACTAACAGTCAAAATAGAGTTTCTAGATGACTCTATGGACTATGGCTTTTGGGAACAAAGAGATAAAATAGATATGAAATATCAGGAACTGGATTTCTTTTTAATGAGGATACAAAGCATTTTTATTAACCCATGGAAGTTCCCTCATGTCCCTTTTCAGTTAACTCTTGCTTTCCCTTCTGCCTTGCTCAAAGTCAAGCACTGCTTTGATTTTTATAACCATAGTTTTGCTTATGATTGAACTTTATAGAAATGGAATCATACAGTATTTACTTTTTTCTATGGCTTCTTTAGCTCAGCATAATGACTCTGAAATTAATTCATATTGTTGTGTCTATCAATAGTTTAAAGAGCTTGAACTTTTTAAAGAATTAAAAACCATAACAACACATGCTTTTATAATGCACTTTATATAGAATACACAAAATATGTGAACCAAAG
The DNA here is from genome assembly GCF_000001405.40 of Homo sapiens. Taxonomy (NCBI): domain Eukaryota; kingdom Metazoa; phylum Chordata; class Mammalia; order Primates; family Hominidae; genus Homo; species Homo sapiens. Next base: position 71,140,143 of record NC_000012.12, on the reverse strand, counting down.
ATTACATCAAGAAGAGTAAAAGTAACTGTCCTAAGCTTTTAAAAATACGGTTTAAAAAAACCTATTACATTTCTTCCACCCAGCTTTCATCATATCATTTTAGAAAAATATAAGCACTTCAATAGAATGTGAGCTCCATGAGGGCAAGGATTTGTACTTTTTAAGATCACTGATGTATTTCAGGGTCCTGGCACAGGACTTGACACATAGGAGGCACTCAATGGATATTTGTTGAATGAGCAAAATAAACTTCAAGGAAATAAATTTTCTGCCATTAATCTCTTTTTTACTTCAGATTTTTGGTTCTGAAGATGTAGGCTCTAGCTCCTACGTTGCTGTGGACATATTGATTGCTGTAGGTGCCATCATCATGATTCTGGGCTTCCTGGGATGCTGCGGTGCTATAAAAGAAAGTCGCTGCATGCTTCTGTTGGTGAGTTCTCCAAACAAATCCCAGTGTCCAACCTTCAGACTCCAGAGGATTCTCTCCCATCCCTATTGTCTGTTAAAAGAACGTGCCATGATTGATGAAACTCTAACTCCAACTTCTCTTTAGAAGGTTTGATTGTGGAAGCTGATATGGCTTAGATTTGGCTTAGTTTGGCTTAGAAACTGGAGGATACTCTGAGAGGAGACAAATTTTAATCATTCATCCATTCATTCATTCACTCATTCAACATTACTGCCATACCTCTATGTGTCAGATATTGTGCGAAATAATACATAAGACCTTTAGAACCTACTAGGGAAGGTTAATAAGTAAGCAAATAGCTACAGTGGGAGTGGCCCCAGAAGCAAAGGGCAAGACAGGGGATGGGATTTTCAAACCAGGGCAGAAGTGAATAAGGTATTTGTATGAGTGAGGGTAGGAAAAGCTTTCCGGAAAGACAACGTGGCAGTACAGTGCTGGTGTGTTTGGGAACTGAGAAGCCTTGGGTATGGCAGGAGACCGGCAAAACTGTTTCCAGTAAATGATGGAAGATGAATCCAAGTGTGGGTTGTGGTAAAATCATAGGTGTTCTACATGCCATGCTAAAAAAAAAGTTTAAATGAATGAGATAATCAGAATTATCTCTTAGAGAGCATTGAGGAGGATAAATTGGGTTTGGATAATTCACAGGCATTCACTTTTAACATATACAGTAGAAAATGGATATAGTAAAAATATTAGAAAAAAATCAAGTGTTTATCAGATACAAATATGACATAAAAGTTTATCAGGTCTAATCTAAACTTATTCCTCTAATAAAGTAAGGATTATATCAGTACCTGAGAAAAATGTTCAAAACTGTTTGTTTATTGTGAGGGACGGTAGAGACAGAGTTTTAAAGGGACTCTAATAACATTCCTACTGATTGCTTTTTGAACAATAAGGCCTCATTTGCAATTGAAGAATTTAATTACTCAAGGAGCTTGTTTAAAAAAAAAGCTAATTGTCTTTGGGCTGCATCCTTCAAACTTATGATTCAGCATATCTGAAGCCGATTTCAGGAATCTATATATGTAACAAGATGCCAGGTGATTCTGAATGTAGTGGAGATGCTGTTTCAAAGCCAATTCTGAGTTTGTGTGAGGTTGTGTTTGATGAAGAAAGGGAAGGAGTAAAATAATACTCAAATAAACTCATCTAAGTTTTCAAACTTCCCTCTAGTCAATATCATACAGATATCAATGGTTGTTTTGATAATTTTTTTGCCTGAACCACTTTCCTCGATCAGTCTCTGGAGCAATTTTCTGAGTAGTAATGAACCCAAAATTTTCAGCTTGAAGTAAAAAGTGGAATAAATGAAGAGTGTGACTGACACTCTCACTGTGATATAATCCCAGCTGTAGAGAGAAGTGCTGTGCCAGAATGTCCCCAGATGTTACTGAATGCACTGAGGATAATGTATATTTCTTTTTCTCTTCTTCAGTTTTTCATAGGCTTGCTTCTGATCCTGCTCCTGCAGGTGGCGACAGGTATCCTAGGAGCTGTTTTCAAATCTAAGGTGTGTGCACAGATGTTTGAAAATTTTGAAGAAGTTTGAAAAATTGAAATACTACCTTGTGGCGTGAATAATGTAAAATACTTTTCAATTTTCAGTCTGATCGCATTGTGAATGAAACTCTCTATGAAAACACAAAGCTTTTGAGCGCCACAGGGGAAAGTGAAAAACAATTCCAGGAAGCCATAATTGTGTTTCAAGAAGAGGTAATTAGAATTCATTGTTCATTTTAAAGAGTTGGACATAGTTCTTCTGTGTTTGTTTAGTTTTTAACATCTTCCTTAAAGATTGAAAAATGTCTCCATTTTGCAGATTTTGATTGATTATTCTGTCACCATGCAATAAGAAAAATCTAAGATATTTGTAATTACTTTCTCGCTTCATACAAAGTTCTGAAGCAGTTTTGAAGGAGAGAAATTAAGAAGATACATTTATGACAGGTTAAGCCTCGAATGAGTCAAATCAATAATAGTTTTAATATTTTCCATTTACCATTTAAAAGGGTAGTGTGTCTGGGAATCTCCTCTCTTTCTCTCTCTCTCCCCCTTTTTTTTGGGGGGGGACAGAGTCTTGCTCTGTCACCCAGGCTGGAGTGCAGTGGTGCAATCTTGGCTCGCTGCAACCTCTGCCTCCCGGGTTCAACTGATTCTCCTGTCTCAGCCTCCTGAGTAGCTGAGACTACAGACATGCGCCACCACGCCCGGCTCATTTTTTGTATTTTTAGTAGAGACAGAGTCTCACCATGTTGGTAAGGTTGGTCTTGAACTCCTGACCTCAGGTGATCCACCCGCCTTAGCCTCCCAAAGTGCTGGGATTACAGAGGTGAGCCACCGCACATGGCCTCTCTCTCTTCTTTTTAAAAAATAATTAATTATTTTGAGGACAAGGTCTTGCTGTGTCACTCAGCCTGGAGTGCAGTAGTATAATCATAGCTCACTGCAATTTTGACCACCAGGGCTCAAGAGATCTTCCCACCTCAGGTTCCTGAGTAGTTAGGACCACAAGCACACACCACCATGCCTGGCTACCTTTTAAAAAATTATCATTTTTGTAGAGAGAGGGGTCTTACTATGTTGCCTAGACTGGTCTCAAATTCCTGACCTCAAGTGATCCTCCTGCCTTGGCCTCCCAAATTGCTGGGATTGCAAGCGTGAGCAACCACATCCACCTCTCTTTTTTTCTTTCTCAGCCTCCACCACTTCTCTGTCTCATAAAAATGGTAATAGCTAACATTAATTGCTACTATGTAGCAGGTGTTATATCCAGTAGCTCATTTAATACCCACAACAACCCTGTGGATGGGTAATATCATTATCCTCATTAACCCTATTTTACAGATAAGGATATTGGGTTTTAGGGAGGTCTAACAGCTACCAAGTGATGGGTTGGAATTTGAACCCAGATCTGTCTGACCAGTCTGTTATTTTTTAAATCAGTATACTATCCCCTCCTTTTTTCTTTAAAGTCAAAATATGGGTAGGCATTGAAGGTCTTCTACTCTCTGGATCCTACCTAATATTTTAACTTTACTAAGTACTACTCTCTAAAGAGTAAACTCTAGTCCAGCCAGGTTTGTGTACTCAGGGTCCCTTGAACAACTGCCTTCCTGCCTTTGCATCAGTTTCCATCCTTGGAGTGCTCTTACTACTTTTTCCTTCTGAATATATGCATGTCATGGAAATTCACAGAATCTTAGGAGAGGCTTGAATTTTATAGGTCACTTAATCTGACTTCTCACTGATAAACATATTTTATATTTATGGTCATCTACCCTCAAATGAAATATTAAAGAGGTGAAAGTTTACTAATTTTTGCCCATCCTGCTTATATGCAAGTCTGATGATTAGTATGTTATTTCTTAATTTGAAACAAAATCTGCCTCCCTAGGATTTACATTATTTAGTACTAGTTTTTCCAGAGTTTCAGAGGAAAAAAAATTATTGATGCTTTTATATATGATAGATTTTTCTTTGAGAATGGCTATTGTTCGACTCCTAAAATCCTTGCTTTTCAAGTGGAAACATCCTTGGTTTCTCAAACTTTTTATCAGGTGACTTTTTTTTTTCTCCCTCAGAGCATTCACTAGTTCCTATTTGGGTAGATGCCAGCTTGTAAAAATTGTGCTTAAAGCATCATTTCCGAAAGCTGAAACCTGATATGGGTCAGTCCCTGTTTAACTTCCTTTCTGATGTGCTTTTCCTAGCTCCCCTGTAGCTGCATCCTTTGACTCTCTTCTTTCCGGGATCATTCTTACTCTAGAGCCCAGCTTAAAACAGGCTTAAAGAAGGAAGAATTTATGCAGCCTCAGTACCTCTGCTGGGTGGGGCTGAGCATCCCAGACCCTTCCCAGGGTGATGACCTAGGACAAAATAGACTAGAGGTAATCACTGAGCCTCTGGTTTGGGTCCTAGTAACATCTGCTGCACGTATCCCTGGATTCAAGGTCTCCATGCCAATCCTGGGTTTCTAAATGTGCTGTTTGTTGTAGCATGTTCTCCTGAAGTGCTCTTGCTCTTGTAAAGAAATCCTGTGCCTGAAGTTCCTTGTGTTCCTAGGACTATATTTCTTCAAATTTCCATTATGAGTCTTCTTCTTCTCCTCCTTCTTCTCCTTCTTTCCTTCTCCTTCCCCTTCTCCTCCTTCTCCTCCTCCTTCTTCCTTTTCTTCTCCTCCGCCTCCCCTTCTTCTTTTTTCTCCTGCTTCTTCTGCTGATTCTTTTTCTTCCTCCTCCTCTTGTTTTCCTCCTGCTCTCCCTTCTTGTCCCCCCTTCTCCTCCTCCTCCTCCTCCTTCTTCTTCTTCTTTCTCCTCCTTCTTCCTCCTCCTCCTTCTCCTCTTCCCTGTGCCACCTCCCCCTCCCCCTCCTCCTTCTTCTTCTTCTTCCTTCTCCTCCTCCTCTTCTTACCTCCTCCTCCTCCTCCTCCTCCTCCTTCTTCTTCCTCCTCCTCCTCCTCATCCTTATCCTCCTCCTCCATCTCCACTATGCTTTCTTTTATAAGTTATGCTTCTTTGGGAAAAGAATCCTACCACCACAAACTCTGGCTGGATGACCTGGAGTCCCATAACACATTGACAAAAGCTACAGATGCTGAGTGGCTTTCTCTTTGGATTTCAGGGATTTCCCGCACAAATTCCCTGTTAACATACTGATGGAATGCACCCCTTTCGGATTCTTGCTCATTATTATTTGTCTAGAGGCGTTGTATCATTAGTGCCTACTGCCTTTTTCATCCAGCTGTTACACCACTGTCAACAAGTCCTGACCAGCTTCTTCTTTAACTGCTCTTATCTCTGATGTAGTGACTTGATATCGTGACAAGTTTTAACCTTCCTAACTTCTACCCTCTCATCTATGAGTATGACTTTATGCCTCCCTAAGGAGTCCTGAGGTCTACAATATTCCAAATATGAACCGATCTGTAAATGAGAATATAAATTTTATAGTGGAATTTAATTTACATTTGACAGAGGGTATCTGTATCAGTGAATACTACTCAAGATTATGTAATCAGAAAGAATAAACAATTAATCATGTCTACCATGGGAACAGGAAAGGAGGTTGTTTCAAGAGCACCCTCCTTGCTAGTACTGACCTTGAAACAAACTGAAATTTCCAGCTCTTTGTCATATAAACATCTGTTGAGTAATGTTTTTGTGTAACTCAGTCTTTGGACATAAGTACAAGACTTCGTATCTGCCTCAGTTGAATTTGTTAGTTTATCTCTGTTATTTGAACTATCTTTGAAATTTGACTCTGATCTCCAGCATATTAATTGTCATTCCTAGCTCTACAGAAACTACAGAATTGGAAAGATATTTTTTTCTATTTATTCAAATCATTGATAACAATGCTGAACAGATCATGTTCCTGTGAGAGCATGACAGAAACAACACCAACAGCAAACAATGAAAACAAAAACAATAAAAGCAAATGCATTATTGAGTGCTTTCTTCAACCTGGGAGTTCTTATCTTTACATGGATTTTCTTATGTTTATCTTTATGATAAATCTGCAAATTAAATGCTATTATTAGCAACTGTTACTATCTGTATTTTACAGATGAACAAACTTTGGCACAGAGGTTAAACTAATGTGTAATAAATGATTTTATTACACATTTATTATTAATGTAATAAATAAATTTAATGATTACCTGCCCAGTAAGTGAAAATTCTTTCAATATCTTGGCATTGCAATGTATCAGAGCTGGGAAAACCACTCAGTCTTGGTTCTGTTTTTCTCAGCCATTTTTTTTTCCTCCCATTTCTGCACGAAGTGTTTTCCCCTTAATTGAGCAGATGGAAGCAACATGAGGGATAATTATCTTTCTTTCTCCCATCTAATAATATCATGTGCCACATGCCCTGATTCTTGGGGTTATCATTTCCTTGTTTTTCTTCCTCAAATGTGGCTGCAAACCCTCTTTTTTAGTGTTTTCCATGGATCAGTTTATTCTGGGACTGTAACTTTCCTGACATTCTAAGAGCTTCATTCTTCATTTGTGTTCCCTCCCATATTTTAAAGATGTTCATAAAATTCAATCTTATGGGAGGCTCCTTGAGCATCTATTTGGGTCTTTGCAATATCTCTCATTTTTTTCCTCCTGTCTTTCAAAAGTGATCAGAGATCATGGAGTGGAAATTTCACTTTTAAAACTTCATGTCTCTTTTGAGCAACAATTCTTTGACTCTCTTGTGAATTCTTTGGAAACTTTTTTGACAATATCTAAATTACAGAGATCTGACTCTCTTTTGTCATTAAAAACTAGTAGGTGAGGCTGGGCACCGTGGCTTATGCCTGGAATCCCAGCACTTTGGGAGGCTGAGGTGGACAGATCACGAGGTCAGGAGATTGAGACAATCCTGGCCAACATGGTAAAACGCGGTCTCTGCTAAAAATACAAAAATTAGCTGGGCGTGGTGGTGCAGCATGCCTGTAATCCCAGCTACTCGGGAGGCTGAGGTAGGAGAATCCCTTGAACCAGGGAGTTGGAGGTTGCAGTGAGCCGAGATCGCGTCACTGCACTCCAGCCTGGTGACAGAGCAAGACTCCATCTCAAAAAAATAAAAATAAAAAACCTAGTAGGTGAGTTTTTCATCTTCCCAACTTCTTCAGATTTTTGAGTCTGCAACTCCATTTTTCCATCATTAATGTAAAGATCAAAATGCAAAAATCCTTAATTTTTACTTCTACACAGAGAAAGGTGAAAGGTGACTTACATGGTATTTTAGCATAATAACCTTTAATAATGATTTCAGAAGATTATAATTTAATGTATTGCCAATGTTTTTAATCTTCTTACTGACTGCTTCTCATTCTACCTTTTATCAAACAGTTTAAATGCTGCGGTTTGGTCAATGGAGCTGCTGATTGGGGAAATAATTTTCAACACTATCCTGAATTATGTGCCTGTCTAGATAAGCAGAGACCATGCCAAAGCTATAATGGAAAACAAGTTTACAAAGAGGTGAGAACTAAATCACATTTGGTACAATAAGCAATTCTGTTACTTTCTTTTCACAATTAAAGTCCCTACAAAAAATTAAAATGCATGGAGTACCATGGGAATCATGATATAAAAATCTCAGAAATTTCCCAAATTAAAAAAATCCTTATTTAAAGATAAAAGCAGATAGACTTCATTTCTTCTATGAGTCTGGCATCATTTAAGCCCAATATTAATAGGTCAAAGAAACATTCTACTGCAATGGGAGGCAAAGTACAAACTAACATAAAAGTTTATTTTATCCTCTCTTTGGTCATCTTAATCATTATTCTCTTTTATTTTTTCCTACTTTAACATAAGTTCTAGAAAACAATATTTTCACTACAATTTTCAATGTTTTTTGTTTTCTAATCAAATTTCCTTTTCTCAAGAAATGAGGTTTCTTCTTTCCCAAAATTTAAAGAAAGGACTCCAAGTCCTTCCCAAATACATTTAAGGGTTTAGGTTCTCTATGTTACTGACAGCTACCAATTTACCTAGTTATTGCTGCAATTGAGAAGTTACCTTGAACATTTAATGTCAATTGAAAAAGATAGGTTAATCTTTTATGTGTTGTAGATGTCATATTTATGTGACTTGTGAATGTCAATACATGGATGTCCTAGTTCTTCTTATTGATCAGTTCATCAAATACTTACTGACCACCTCCTATGCGCCAAGCTTTCTACCAGTCACCGGGAATTCATTCCTGAACAGAGCACAATGTCTGCGCTCATGGAGCTGATGCTCAAGTAAGGAAGAGAGAAAGATAGTTAGGCAACTTCAATCCAATGGTCTACTAGTATCTCTTGGATAGAGATGGGTGCAAGGTGTTATGGGACCCCATCTCACTTAGTCTGTGGGGTTCAGGATATGGCTTCATGAAGAACATGACATCTGTCCCTTCATAAGTTGTTCGTTCTGCTTAGAAGAAATGTGTACAAAAATTACAATTGATATTAGTATTTCATTTATTTACTGTTATTCTTCAGTGCCTACTACATGTCAGACAGACCCTTGCTAGGATCAGACATGCTTCTGGATCCTCTAGGAGATTACAATCTAGTTGAGAGGCAGATACATTAAAAACCACTATAAATCACAATGAATTAATATTAATATCTATAATACCCGAAGATTCTTTTCAATCTAGAAATGTTTTGGTTTAGTAACTGCTACTGAAAATAATTTATAAAAGGAAATAGAAAGTATCTCAGGGGAAACTACCCTTTCCTTGACTACTGATCTTTTTCACTGATCTTATCAAAATTAAAGAGGCTCTGCCCTGAAGGGGAATTGCTGTCATTAATACTTAAAGTATGTCGCTAAGATTTAAAGTAACTCAATAAATAATCTACCAGACTACAGGTTATATTGCGTTTTTCATTGTCAAAGTAATATTACTAAAAAAAGTTTGATTCTTACTTTTTATATTCTCCCTGCTCCCCTCCTCCCTACCTAATGTTAGTGACACAGTATTTACAAGGAAAAGGGGAAATAAATATAGAGTAAATAAAAATAGTTTCCACTTAGGATAATGAGGAAATAAGTAAATTCAATTGCAGATTGCTATTTGTCTCCTGTTCAAATTCAACTGAAAGATGTTTTTCCTCAAGACAGATTCTGAAAAGCCCCTGGAATTATTCTAAAAAAACTATTAGATAGTTTCTGTAAGTTCACACATAATTCAGCTGAATATAGGCTGATAGCTACACCAGTTTCCCAAAAGGAAGGTTGTAAATTCATAAAATACTTCCATCTGCCATGTGTCATTTGCAAGAAGTCTGGTAAAATAAAAAATATGGAATGGCCATAATTCACATTTCTTTTTTTTCCTCTTCCTTTTGCCAAGATACCCTCATTATCTTAGGCAAAGAGGAAGAGAAAAACCCCTGAAACATAATGAATGTGACTCAGTAGATATAATCATTAATCTCATTGTTAACCTAAATGACATAATAATTTCCTTGAATGTTTACCACGTTGGGTTAAATGTGAATGAAGAAACTCAATACATTCAGGAATGAAGGGGAAAGATGACTTAGCCTTCTGGAGAAATTTTATTTTATTTAACAAATAGCAATACTTTGTTAGCCCTTTGCACATATATGACCATCAAAGGGATAATATATTTCAGGGCAGTACAAAAATAACACAATTATACTGTGTAGTCTTTTTCCATTTAAAAAATTCTTCACATAATTTACAATTCTTGAAGTTATTAGGTCTAGTCCAAAATGTTTTAAGCATGAAAATGCATCCTGGATTGTATACATTTCAAAAATGTAGCAGAGAGGCAACTTCCTAATTTCTCTTTTTTATCTAAAGTAATGGCATAGTGGTAGACATAGTAAGTTTTTTCTTTTTAAGATAAAAATAACCCTGATAAATATTAAGGGATTTTGAAAATATGTTGTTTTTTCCGGCAGCAGTGACTTCAAGCCTGTTATCCCAGCATTTTCAGAGGCTGAGGCCGGTGGATTGCTTGAGCCCGGGAGTTCAAGACAAGCCTGGGCAATATGGCAAAACCATGTCTTTACAAAACACAACAAAAATTAGCCAGGCATGGTGGCACATGCCTGCAGTCTCAGCTACTTGGGAGGATTAGGTGGGAGGATCACTTGAGCCCAGGAAGTCAAGGCTGCAGTGAGCCAAGATTGCGCCTCTGCACTCCAGCTTCAGCGCTGGAGGGAGACCCTGTCTCAAAGAAAAAAAAAAAAAAAGAAAGAAAGAAAAAAAGAAAATACCTTGTTTTAAAAATGAAAATTTACAATATTATTATCTAAAATCTCAACCAGAAACCTTTCTGTTTTAGATTACAAACCTAAAAAATCCTTAGTCAAGGTGGTATCAGCTCTAAAATGAATAAAGTTAAGATAAAATTATGATTTATACTTTTATGTTGTAAAATATATAGCTTTATCAGCTATAAAATTTATAGTATAAATTATAAAATCTGTCATTTGAGGATATGTTGGTGAAAAATTATTATTTGTAATTATTAATCCCTAGATTCAACAATTAGGCAGTCAAGCAAAATTTTGTTCCTCAATTGCTTTTCAATGTATAAACAAACCACAACAGTTACAACCTTTTGGAGCAAAGGTGAAGCAGGGAGTGGAAGGAATAACCCAGTTCCTTGTCGTTAAGTGTGTTTCTTGATAGCAATGTAAAAAGTCAACCAGATTAATAAAAATTTTGATTAATATAAGGTCGAATTTTTCTGAGAGGTAACTTTTAATGTTTTTTTTTTTTAACAGACCTGTATTTCTTTCATAAAAGACTTCTTGGCAAAAAATTTGATTATAGTTATTGGAATATCATTTGGACTGGCAGTTATTGAGGTACAGTATAATCTTGTATTATTGACTCTTTTATTCCCTTGCTTGTTCATTAATTTCAAGAAATATTGATGGTGAACAAACAAACAGAAAAAAAAAAACCACAACAACCATAAAAAACGCAGATGCTTTAGAAAAGCACTGGATGCTAAAGGCCCATCATCTCCCTCGATCAGCCTGAGTCTGAGGGGGAGATTCCAGTCTTATGAAGTGAGCAGGGTTGAGATTCTTGCTTCTGAATGACCTCTCTACCGGGAAAAAGATAGAATTAATTTTCACATAGTTCTTAGTGCCAGGTATATTTTTCCCACTGAAAACTAGCACAGGGGTTACAGTTTTCCAAAGTTAGAAGAAAAAGCACCAAACAAAGCAAAATACGACCTTTACAATTTCTTATTTCTCATCTTGATTTTGAAACAGAAAATAAAAACTGAACTCAAGAGTGTGAGGAGCTCTTTCTTTGTTACTTATTACATTCTAGAGAAATCCAAGAAGTTCTAAAAAGTAGAGGTAATTGTCTCTGATTTCCTCAGCTTAAGTACTATTGACTCACTTGGAGAAATTTTCAAGGAAAATTGAGGCTTATGTATTACTTTCATCACTTTAATTATTGATGTTGGAAAAATATCCCACATAGGATTTTTGTCTTGATGAACTTTCTTGGCATGTTTTTTTTTTAAAAAAAAAAAAAACCTGAAAGATACTTTTCACATGGCCTAAAAATCTTTGCCAAGAAAATGAATTAAAACTGCTTCAGAGAAGCATTTTGGAATCATCCCAGATCTTGGGTAATTTTAATATCAAGTAGATCAAATTCACTCACAATCCTATTCCAGGGCATTAGCAAGAATGTGAAGTGTCTCCCTGGTTAATGCCTGTGAGAGCTGGTTAGCTCAGCTGAGTGCCTTGTGCTTCACACTCATGGAATGCTGTGCAAGGTACTCCTTGGGCTTTCTGGTAATTTTCTACCTCTTACTCGTGCCACATCACTGCCAGAAAGAAATTTTAACTGGGAATGAAGCAATTTAGTGTCCTAAGTGGTTATTTAGTTTGCTGGTGGAATTTCCCAGGCAGCTATTAGAGAAAGGTTAGGGACTATTAGCAGCAAATTAAACTGTGGGTTATTACTTTCTTGTAGTCCAGATGAATAGGTATAAATATGAAGCATTCTTTGTTGGTAGGTTATGGCTGTCTTTCTTTAGGTCTGATATATGTTCAGAGTCAAATGGTGCTATGGATTAGGTCTATTTCTCTTGATTCTGCATTTTGTAAGATGTATTTTATTTCTCTGCTTTGTATTCTGGGTTTATGCTAATTTAGAAATAAGGACTAATGGCCATGAAGATGAGTAAGAAATGAATGATTTAAATGAATCAAGAGTGATTTTACATGAATGATTTAAGTGAATGAGAGAGCATGCTTTAAATGAGATATTTAATATAAGAGTTATATTTCATGTTAGACTCAAGTTCTGACAATTGACTATCACTAGCTCAAATCACAGATGCTCCTCAGTTAGCAAAACCAGAAAAAGTAAGGACATACTTGATTGGGGAGGTTGATGAAATCCTTTGTGTCATAGTCAAAGGCATTTTCAAGAATTTAAATACATCTAGTGGAAAATAAGATTACAAAAAGATTAATGTATTTCAGTATTTTATGAAATTGTTATATTCCATGTATTAATTACATGTTTAAATATTTTATTTGTTCTTCTAAAGACATATTCAGAGAAAAATAGCTTAATACAAACATTCTATACAGTAATTTATAGGTATGAAGTTTTTGCGTTACTATCATAAAACAGAACCGTTTTTGAATTCGAGAAGTCAAATTAATTGTGATTTCTAGACTCTCTGCAGATATGGTAAATAGTTGGTTCAAATAATTGTTTGAACTTTTTAAAATTGTTCAGTTCCTCAGTCTATAACCTGCCCTCCCTCTTTTTAAGGGAAACAAATCATTTTATATTCCATCTTCCTTTATTCAAAAAGTAGATTGGAAAAGTCTTCTGACACCCAGTCTATAAATTATGTATCCAAAAACAAAGCATTTTATAGCTCATCTTACAGTCATTAGTACAAGTTTCCTATTGCCCTATGACTTAGGCCTATCTCCCTTCTTTGTTTCCAAAGTTCAAATTCAAAAAAACACAAAGATACAGAAACAGAAAATCTCCTCTAAAAAATACTTTTAAGAAAACAGAAGCAAATGTCTTCCTGCAGAAAATATGTTCAGATTATCTCCACAGAAAAATATCATATAAAAAAAGACCGCCCCATATTTAGACCTTATGTTAGTATGTTTAGGCATAGGTTTTAGTGAGGTGGGCCAATATTTGTTTTCAAAGCTATGTTAAGACTATATACCTAAGGGATTCTTCTCACATTGGATGCTAAAGATTGTGCAGAATACCTTATTCTGCAAGAAAAATTTATCTATAGACATTTTTGGAATTCTCATTACTCTAGCTTAAAACAGCCAGACTATCATACTCTCCTCATTTGACTATAACAACTTACAAGCACAAAAGATGATCAGCACTTTCCTTGCTTTAATTAAAAAAAAAAAAGTGCTACACACTGAGAGCCATCACTTTGTAGGATAAAAGTTATCCCAACAGGAGGTCCTAGAAATAAAGCAGTTAAAAGAAAAATGATAATTTTACATTTTTTTAGACTGCTGCATACCTCTTAGCAAATTTATCATGAGTCTTGGCGTACATTATAAAATGACAAATCTCTTTTAATTATGTGCTTTTTTTTGAACAATCATAAATGTTCTTTTCAGGGACAATGAAATACAAGAAAGTGTGATATTAACTATCTAGTCTGCTGATAAATTGACGGCTTCTATTTCAAGGATGTAGCAGTGAAAGATGATAGTTGTCTTATCCCATTATTTTTTCCCCATTAAAAAAATTCTTTCTTGATACTTGTCCCACAGACTTAAGGCTCAGGATCAAGACAAAAAGACTAAATTTCAGTCTTCAATTGTAGCACATTTTGAATGGAAATTATTACTTTTGCAGAGAATTGGTGTCAACCTTTTTAAGAAGGAAGAAAGATTGGTTAGCAGTTCTCATTTGAATTACATTTCCAGGAAAGTGTTAGTAAGCAGAAAGTCTCAACACAGTAGAAGCATTTAAGTTGACTCAGCATAAATGTCACTTTGCCTTCCTCCATCCTCCCTTCAAAAGGGGCTGGTGGGGGAGGAAACTTTCTATTGGTAATGCACACAGGTCCTGTCTATCATTTCTACGTCAAAGATACAGCATGCAAGTCACCAACTGTAGAGCCAATTAGAGCAAATTTTGGGGTCCCTCATTCTTGGGAGAGCTACTTGAGATGGAAATTATGCCCCAGATTTTCAGCTGTGCTTTTTCACTTCAAAAGAAATTCCTGAATTAAGCTGTTCCCCATAGTTTAGAAGCTTTTTTAAAAAAAGAGTTACTTCATTTTTTATTCCTCTTGGAAATGCCTAAAACTACAGCAAGAGAAATTCTAGACTTCTTGATTTTTATGCAGATGATTTAAACCAGATGATCATAACCTTTTTATGGAAGCATTACGTATATTTAGCCCCCAGGGACCTGAGATCCCCAGTGCTCCAGAGGAGACGCTCTGCAGAAGAATGTGTGTGTTCCAGAAAAGGGAGTAGGTCCTCTGGTGGCAGCTGCTACTGTGCAGTTTATATGGGGCCAGTTAGATAGAGGCTGATTGGCCAGCTAAAAAAGCTGATTAAAACACAAAAAAAACTCAAGAGAGCTTTTGCAGTGCTCTTTTGTCCCATTGGAACCTCTAATTTCCCAAGAGAGATGAGTTAGATAAGATTGGAACTGTCAATATACAAAATCTTTTCATATATAATGTTCTTTCTGTTTATTTATAATGTGTCCAGTGTTTTCCCTTAAATTCCATGTTAATCCTGTTATTTTGTTCTCTAGATACTGGGTTTGGTGTTTTCTATGGTCCTGTATTGCCAGATCGGGAACAAATGAATCTGTGGATGCATCAACCTATCGTCAGTCAAACCCCTTTAAAATGTTGCTTTGGCTTTGTAAATTTAAATATGTAAGTGCTATATAAGTCAGGAGCAGCTGTCTTTTTAAAATGTCTCGGCTAGCTAGACCACAGATATCTTCTAGACATATTGAACACATTTAAGATTTGAGGGATATAAGGGAAAATGATATGAATGTGTATTTTTACTCAAAATAAAAGTAACTGTTTACGTTGGTGCTTTTCTATGTCTGATCATTGTATTCAGGTGCTACAGTGCTTAAAATGTTCTTCTGGAGCCACCCAGTGGAATAATCATCTCTAAGGTGACAGGGCCATAGATAGTTAAGACAGTGGATCTGGGGCTTTTCAGAAACGACACTCTTTTATATGATGTATCAACCATTGGTGATAAGACTGAATCAAGTCTAATGTTAAAATAATTGACAATGATCCAGGTAAAAGAGTCACCATCTCTTTTCTATTTATGTCAAAGCTACTAATAGTATGTCTCTCTTTTGCTGCATATCTATTGTATGAACAAAAAGGTCTGAGTGCCCAGCACCCAGCCATTGCTTCTCTGGTACCCATCTGGATCTTCCTCTCAGACACAACAGTTGTAACTTTTTTTTCTTTCTAGTTCTCAGAAATATTTAACATTTTTGCTTTGTATAGAAGTATAACATACATACAATATAGTCGATAATTCTTAAAGTATAGCTCTTTTAATATATGTACATCTGTGTAAGGACTAAGATCAGAGTTGGGCACAGTGGCTCATGCCTGTAAGCTCAGCTACTTGGGAAGCTGAGACAGTAGGGTCTCTTGACCCCAGGAGTTTGAGACCAGCCTGAATAATAAAGTGAGACCCCCATCTCCAAAAAAAAAAAAAAGAAGATACAGAATATTTCTAGCACACCAGAATGCTCCTTCATGCCACCTCTCAGTGGTGGGGTGTATTTGGCTCACACAGACTTGCTAAGCAGATTGTACACATATACACAAAAGTTTTGTACACAAAGTTCTTCCCAACTTTGTGTTCAGTAACATGAGATTGGTACCTTGAAATCTACCATGCTCGGAGTATTTATGCCATAGAAACTAACAAATGCTGTAAATTCAGGGCTTTTCTTTCTTTTCTTTTCTTTCTTTTCTGGAGAGCTGGTTGATAAACATTTACCAATATACTGCCCTCTCTGTAAATATTTCCCTAAAGGTAACCACTTTTCTTTTTTTTTTTTTATTATACTTTAAGTTTTAGGGTACATGTGCACATTGTGCAGGTTAGTTACATATGTATACATGTGCCATGCTGGTGCGCTGCACCCACTAACTCGTCATCTAGCATTAGGTATATCTCCCAATGCTATCCCTCCCCCCTCCCCCCACCCCACCACAGTCCCCAGAGTGTGATATTCCCCTTCCTGTGTCCATGTGATCTCATTGTTCAATTCCCACCTATGAGTGAGAATATGCGGTGTTTGGTTTTTTGTTCTTGCAATAGTTTACTGAGAATGATGATTTCCAATTTCATCCATGTCCCTACAAAGGACATGAACTCATCCTTTTTTATGGCTGCATAGTATTCCATGGTGTATATGTGCCACATTTTCTTAATCCAGTTTATCATTGTTGGACATTTGGGTTGGTTCCAAGTCTTTGCTATTGTGAATAATGCCGCAATAAACATACGTGTGCATGTGTCTTTATAGCAGCATGATTTATAGTCCTTTGGGTATATACCCAGTAATGGGATGGCTGGGTCAAATGGTATTTCTAGTTCTAGATCCCTGAGGAATCGCCACACTGACTTCCACAATGGTTGAACTAGTTTACAGTCCCACCAACAGTGTAAAAGTGTTCCTATTTCTCCACATCCTCTCCAGCACCTGTTGTTTCCTGACTTTTTAATGATTGCCATTCTAACTGGTGTGAGATGGTATCTCATTGTGGTTTTGATTTGCATTTCTCTGATGGCCAGTGATGATGAGCATTTTTTCATGTGTTTTTTGGCTGCGTAAATGTCTTCATTTGAGAAGTGTCTGTTCATGTCCTTCGCCCACTTTTTGATGGGGTTGTTTGTTTTTTTCTTGTAAATTTGTTTGAGTTCATTGTAGATTCTGGATATTAGCCCTTTGTCAGATGAGTAGGTTGCGAAAATTTTCTCCCATTTTGTAGGTTGCCTGTTCACTCTGATGGTAGTTTCTTTTGCTGTGCAGAAGCTCTTTAGTCTAATTAGATCCCATTTGTCAATTTTGTCTTTTGTTGCCATTGCTTTTGGTGTTTTGGACATGAAGTCCTTGCCCATGCCTATGTCCTGAATGGTACTGCCTAGGTTTTCTTCTAGGGTTTTTATGGTTTTAGGTCTAATGTTTAAGTCTTTAATCCATCTTGAATTGATTTTTGTATAAGGTGTAAGGAAGGGATCCAGTTTCAGCTTTCTACATATGGCTAGCCAGTTTTCCCAGCACCATTTATTAAATAGGGAATCCTTTCCCCATTGCTTGTTTTTCTCAGGTTCGTCAAAGATCAGATAGTTGTAGATATGCGGCGTTATTTCTGAGGGCTCTGTTCTGTTCCATTGATCTATATCTCTGTTTTGGTACCAGTACCATGCTGTTTTGGTTACTGTAGGCTTGTAGTATAGTTTGAAGTCAGGTAGTGTGATGCCTCCAGCTTTGTTCTTTTGGCTTAGGATTGCCTTGGCGATGCGGGCTCTTTTTTGGTTCCATATGAACTTTAAAGTAGTTTTTTCCAATTCTGTGAAGAAAGTCATTGGTAGCTTGATGGGGATGGCATTGAATCTGTAAATTACCTTGGGCAGTATGGCCATTTTCATGATATTGATTCTTCCTACCCATGAGCATGGAATGTTCTTCCATTTGTTTGTATCCTTTTTTATTTCCTCGAGCAGTGGTTTGTAGTTCTCCTTGAAGAGGTCCTTCACATCCCTTGTAAGGTGGATTCCTAGGTATTTTATTTTCTTTGAAGCAATTGTGAATGGGAGTTCACTCATGATTTGGCTCTCTGTTTGTCTGTTGTTGGTGTATAAGAATGCTTGTGATTTTTGTACATTGATTTTGTATCCTGAGACTTTGCTGAAGTTGCTTATCAACTTAAGGAGATTTTGGGCTGAGACAATGGGGTTTTCTAGATATACAGTCATGTCGTCTGCAAACAGGGACAATTTGACTTCCTCTTTTCCTAATTGAATACACTTTATTTCCTTCTCCTGCCTAATTGCCCTGGCCAGAACTTCCAACACTATGTTGAATAGGAGTGGTGAGAGAGGGCATCCCTGTCTTGTGCCAGTTTTCAAAGGGAATGCTTCCAGTTTTTGCCCATTCAGTATGATATTGGCTGTGGGTTTGTCATAGATAGCTCTTATTATTTTGAAATACATCCCATCAATACCTAATTTATTGAGAGTTTTTATCATGAAGGGTTGTTGAATTTTGTCAAAGTCTTTTTCTGCATCTATTGAGATAATCATGTGGTTTTTGTCTTTGGCTCTGTTTATATGCTGGATTACATTTATTGATTTGCGTATATTAAACCAGCCTTGCATCCCAGGGATGAAGCCCACTTGATCATGGTGGATAAGCTTTTTGATGTGCTGCTGGATTCGTTTTGCCAGTATTTTATTGAGGATTTTTGCAACAATGTTCGTCAAGGATATTGGTCTAAAATTCTCTTTTTTGGTTGTGTCTCTGCCCGGCTTTGGTATCAGAATGATGCTGGCCTCATAAAATGAGTTAGGGAGGACTCCCTCTTTTTCTATTGATTGGAATAGTTTCAGAAGGAATGGTACCAGTTCCTCCTTGTACCTCTGGTAGAATTCGGCTGTGAATCCATCTGGTCCTGGACTCTTTTTGGTTGGTAAACTATTGATTATTGCCACAATTTTCAGCTCCTGTTATTGGTCTATTCAGAGATTCAACTTCTTCCTGGTTTAGTCTTGGGAGAGTGTATGTGTCGAGGAATTTATCCATTTCTTCTAGATTTTCTAGTTTATTTGCATAGAGGTGTTTGTAGTATTCTCTGATGATAGTTTGTATTTCTGTGGGATTGGTGGTGATACCCCTTTATCATTTTTTATTGTGTCTATTTGATTCTTCTCTCTTTTTTTCTTTATTAGTCTTGCTAGCAGTCTATCAATTTTGTTGATCCTTTCAAAAAACCAGCTCCTGGATTCATTAATTTTTTGAAGGGTTTTTTGTGTCTCTATTTCCTTCAGTTCTGCTCTGATTTTAGTTATTTCTTGCTTTCTGCTAGCTTTTGAATGTGTTTGCTCTTGCTTTTCTAGTTCTTTTAATTGTGATATTAGGGTGTCAATTTTGGATCTTTCCTGCTTTCTCTTGTGGGCATTTAGTGCTATAAATTTCCCTCTACACACTGCTTTGAATGCGTCCCAGAGATTCTGGTATGTTGTGTCTTTGTTCTCGTTGGTTTCAAAGAACATCTTCATTTCTGCCTTCATTTCGTTATGTATCCAGTAGTCATTCAGGAGCAGGTTGTTCAGTTTCCATGTAGTTGAGTGGTTTTGAGTGAGATTCTTAATCCTGAGTTCTAGTTTGATTGCACTGTGGTCTGAGAGATAGTTTGTTATCATCTCTGTTCTTTTACATTTGCTGAGGAGAGCTTTACTTCCAAGTATGTGGTCAATTTTGGAATAGGTGTGGTGTGGTGCTGAAAAAAATGTATATTCTGTTGATTTGGGATGGAGAGTTCTTTAGATGTCTATTAGGACTGCTTGGTGCAGAGCTGAGTTCAATTCCTGGGTATCCTTGCTGACTTTCTGTCTCGTTGATCTGTCTAATGTTGACAGTGGGGTGTTAAAGTCTCCCATTATTAATGTGTGGGAGTCTAAGTCTCTTTGTAGGTCACTCAGGACTTGCTTTATGAATCTGGGTGCTCCTGTATTGGGTGCATATATATTTAGGATAGTTAGCTCTTCTTGTTGAATTGATCCCTTTACCATTATGTAAGGGCCTTCTTTGTCTCTTTTGATCTTTGTTGGTTTAAAGTCTGTTTTATCAGAGACTTGGATTGCAACCCCTGCCTTTTTTTGTTTTCCATTTTCTTGGTAGATCTTCCTCCATCCTTTTATTTTGAGCCTGTGTGGGTCTCTGCATGTGAGATGGGTTTCCTGAATACAGCACACTGATGGGTCTTGACTCTATCCAATTTGCCAGTCTGTGTCTTTTAATTGGAGCATTTAGTCCATTTACATGTAAAGTTAATATTGTTATGTGTGAATTTGATCCTGTCATTATGATGTTAGCTGGTTATTTTGCTTGTTAGTTGATGCAGTTTCTTCCTAGTCTCGATGGTCTTTACATTTTGGCATGATTTTGCAGCGGCTGGTACCGGTTGTTCCTTTCCATGTTTAGTGCTTCCTTCAGGAGCTCTTTTAGGGCAGGCCTGGTGGTGACAAAATCTCTCAGCATTTGCTTGTCTGTAAAGAATTTTATTTCTCCTTCACTTATGAAGCTTAGTTTGGCTGGATATGAAATTCTGGGTTGAAAATTCTTTTCTTTAAGAATGTTGAATATTGGCCCCCACTCTCTTCTGGCTTGTAGGGTTTCTGCCAAGAGATCCGCTGTTAGTCTGATGGGCTTCCCTTTGAGGGTAGCCTGACCTTTCTCTCTGGCTGCCCTTAACATTTTTTCCTTCATTTCAACTTTGGTGAATCTGACAATTATGTGTCTTGGAGTTGCTCTTCTCGAGGAGTATCTTTGTGGCGTTCTCTGTATTTCCTGAATCTGAACGTTGGCCTGCCTTGCTAGATTGGGGAAGTTCTCCTGGATAATATCCTGCAGAGTGTTTTCCAACTTGGTTCCATTCTCCCCATCACTTTCAGGTACACCAATCAGACGTAGATTTGGTCTTTTCACATAGTCCCATATTTCTTGGAGGCTTTGCTCATTTCTTTTTATTCTTTTTTCTCTAAACTTCCCTTCTCGCTTCATTTCATTCATTTCATCTTCCATTGCTGATACCCTTTCTTCCAGTTGATCGCATCGGCTCCTGAGGCTTCTGCATTCTTCACGTAGTTCTCGAGCCTTGGTTTTCAGCTCCATCAGCTCCTTTAAGCACTTCTCTGTATTGGTTATTCTAGTTATACATTCTTCTAAAATTTTTTTCAAAGTTTTCAACTTCTTTGCCTTTGGTTTGAATGTCCTCCCGTAGCTCAGAGTAATTTGATCGTCTGAAGCCTTCTTCTCTCAGCTCGTCAAAGTCATTCTCCATCCAGCTTTGTTCCGTTGCTGGTGAGGAACTGCGTTCCTTTGGAGGAGGAGAGGCGCTCTGCGTTTTAGAGTTTCCAGTTTTTCTGTTCTGTTTTATCCCCATCTTTGTGGTTTTATCTACTTTTGGTCTTTGATGATGGTGATGTGCAGATGGGTTTTTGGTGTGGATGTCCTTTCTGTTTGTTAGTTTTCCTTCTAACAGACAGGACCCTCAGCTGCAGGTCTGTTGGAATACCCTGCCGTGTGAGTTGTCAGTGTGCCCCTGCTGGGGGGTGCCTCCCAGTTAGGCTGCTCGGGGGTCAGGGGTCAGGGACCCACTTGAGGAAGCAGTCTGCCCGTTCTCAGATCTCCAGCTGCGTGCTGGGAGAACCACTGCTCTCTTCAAAGCTGTCAGATAGGGACATTTAAGTCTGCAGAGGTTACTGCTGTCTTTTTGTTTGTCTGTGCCCTGCCCCCAGAGGTGGAGCCTACAGAGGCAGGCAGGCCTCCTTGAGCTGTGGTGGGCTCCACCCAGTTTGAGCTTCCTGGCTGCTTTGTTTACCTAAGCAAGCCTGGGCAATGGCGGGCGCCCCTCCCCCAGCCTCGTTGCCGCCTTGCAGTTTGATCTCAGACTGCTGTGCTAGCAATCATCGAGACTCCGTGAGGGTAGGACCCTCCCAGCCAGGTGCCGGATATAATCTCGTGGTGCGCCGTTTTTTTAAGCCGGTCCGAAAAGCGCAATATTCGGGTGGGAGTGACCTGATTTTCCAGGTGCGTCCGTCACCCCTTTCTTTGACTCGGAAAGGGAACTCCCTGACCCCTTGTGCTTCCCAAGTGAGGCAATGCCTCGCCCTGCTTCGGCTCGCGCACGGTGCGCGCACCCACTGACCTGCGCCCACTGTCTGGCACTCCCTAGTGAGATGAACCCGGTACCTCAGATGGAAATGCAGAAATCACCCGTCTTCTGTGTCGCTCACGCTGGGAGCTGTAGACCGGAGCTGTTCCTATTCGGACATCTTGGCTCCTCCCCAAGGTAACCACTTTTCTGACTTCTGTGACATAGACTCGTTTTGCCTGTTCATGAATTTTCTCTAAATGGAATAATAAAGTGTGCACCCTGGCTTCTTTGACTCAACATCTTGAGTGTGAGATTCATCTATTTGTTGCATGTAGCTGTAGTTTATTCTAGTTGCTATGTAGCATTTCATTGCATATGAATATATCGCAGTGTATATATCCATTCTTCTGTTGATGGGTATATAGTTTGCATTCAGTTTGTCACAATTATGAGTAAAGCTTCTATAAACATTCTTTTATATGTCATTTGGAACATATATGTACTCATTTCTGGCTATATATGCAGGAGTGGAACTGCTTTGCATACATATGTTTAGCTTTAATAGATTCTGTCAAGAAATTTTCTAAATTTTTCTTTTTTTTTTTTTTTTGAGATGGAGTCTCGCTCTGTGGCCCAGGGTGGAGTGCAGTGGCAGGATCTCTGCTCACTGCAACCTCCACTTCCCAGGTTCACGCCCTTCTCCTGCCTCAGCCTCCCGAGTAGCTGGGACTACAGGCGCCCACCACCACACCTGGCTAATTTTTTGTATTTTTTAGTAGAGATGGGGTTTCACCGTGTTAGCCAGGGTGGTCTCAATCTCCTGAACTCATGATCCGCCCGCCTCGGCCTCCCAAAGTGCTGGGATTACAGGGTGAGCTGCCACGCCCAGCCTTTCTAAAGTTCTTGTCCTAATTTATGCTGATACTGGAAAAGTATAAGAGACTCAGTCTCATCTTCTGAGGAGGAGAAACATTAAGAGCAGTTCTTGTCAAGCAGATTAGAGTGGCTGCCAAGCAGTAGGAAACTTGGGGGAGCTTTGGGCTGGGTTAGGCACCCTTATTCTATGCTTCCGTATTAATGATAAAAATAGTGGCTGGGTGAGGTGGCTCACGCCTGTAATCCCAGCACTTTGGAAGGCTGAGGCGGATGGATCACGAGGTCAGGAGATCGAGACCATCCTGGCTAACATGGTGAAACCCCGTCTCTACTAAAAATACAAAAAATTAGCCAGGCGTGGTGGTGGGCACCTGTAGTCCCAGCTGCTCAGGAGGCTGAGACAGGAGAATCGCTTGAACCCGGGAGGCGGAGCTTGCAATGAGCTGAGATTGCACCACTGCACTCCAGCCTGGGCGACAGAGCAAGACTCCATCTCAAAAAAAAAAAAAAAAAAAAAGCTATCCTTCTTTGAGTACATGTCAACTTCCAGGAACAATACCCAAATCTGTGCTTTTATTATCTCATTTTTAATCACTATATCCTTATGAGGTAGGTACTATTATCATTCCCATTTCACAGGTAAGAACATTGAGGCTCAGAGGAGATAGATATCTTGCTCAGAGTCAATTAGTAATTGGCAGAACTGGGAATCAAACCCTGTCAAATGTGTCCCAATCCCTGACTGTTGATCATGTTAGCTTTCCCATAATAAATTTATCAATAAACTTGCCATATTTTATTATAATTACCCATTCATGTGTTTGCCTCTGTTAGCATCCTCAAACTCTTTGAAGGCATTGATAGTTTTTTATTTGTCTTTATTTCTCCAGTACCTATTGCTGTGCTTGGCATAAAATAGGCACTTAACAAATTGCAGCTAAAAATAATAGATTTATTGAGAGTGTACTGTATGCCTACATATATTCTAAGTACTTTACATAGAGTAACTCATTTAATTCAGAACAACCTTCTTAGTTTGATACTATTACTAGACCAATTTACAGATAAGGAAAGCAGGGCCTAGAGAGATTTAACTTTTCGTAGGTCATGCAGCTAGTAAGTGGAGGAGTTGTGATGCAGTCTAAGTAACTCAAAATCCATGTTTTTTACTTCATACCATTTTGTCATATGTTACGGTGTTATTGGGATAGATGAGAAAATGAATATTAACATGTCTTTTGCATAATGTTGGCTACATATTACAGGATCAACAAATATTATATGGTATCAATGATATAAAGAACTTGTATTAGTCAGGGTTGATGGAAAAACGTCAGCTATTTCAAACAATGAACTCCTATATTAGCTTGGACTGTCATAACAAAATACACCTGACTAGGTAGCTTAAATAACAGAATTTTTTTTCTCAGAGTTCTGGAGTCTGAGAAGTCAAGGATCGGGGTGCTGGCCTATTCAGTTCCTGGTAAGGGCTGTCTTCCTGGCTTGCAGTTGAACTACTTCTTGCTGTGTCTTCACAAGGTAAAAAGAGAGAGAGAGAGAGTGTACACTCTGTTTTGTCTTCTTATAAAGACAATAATCCTATCAGTCCAGGGTTCCACCCTTATGACCTTATTTAACATTAATTACTTTCTTACTCCAAATACAGCCACAATGGGGGCTTCAACATACGAATTTTAGGGGGAAACAATTCAATCCATAGTAACTGCTTACAGAGGTGATGGAAAAAGTAAGAGGACAATTAGGAGGCAAAGTAAACCAGAGATTAGCAACAGTAGGAGTTACTACTACCCTTAGGACTGGAGAAACAGAGATAATGTTACCAGAGCCCAGGATCCAGGGCCACGTTGTAGAAGATGAACCATGGCTTGGATTCCAGAGAAAGACTAACAGGAACAGGAGCCATGGAGACGTAGCACTCATTATCAGAAGAAGAGAGAGAGGACAGAGAGAAGTGCCCTGGCTTCTCTCCCGCCCACTTCAGTCTTCTCTCAGACTTCCATTGACTGAGGCCACCTAGAAACCAGAAAACAAGTGGCCCTGGAAAATGTAGTTTCCTCTGACCCGAAGCAGAGCTGAGAATGGCAAGGACTGGGCTGAGAGCAGACAGAAAGAAAAGACTGTTAGATTAAGTTTAGCCCAAAGATGCCTTCTTACAGAGTCTAAGTTTTACCTAAAGGTTTCTCTGTGCACAGTGAACTGTAACCTAACTGGGTGTGTAAACCAACCATAACCTACTCTTGTGCCAGTCACTCAGTTTTGGCCAATTAAAGGCAGCCAACTATTCAAACTCGGTTCAAGTAAGGCAAACACAGAACTGTAAGCAATCCAGCTGTTTCTGTACCTCACTTCCATTTTCTGTACATTACTTCCCTTTGTGTCCATAAATCTTCTACCACCTGGCTGCGCTGGAGTCTCTCTGACTCCAGTGAATTATTCTTTCCTCAATTAAGCTCTGTTAAATTTAACTTGTCAGTGATTTTTCTTTTAACAAGACTGTAATAGCAAATTGAGAGTTAGAGAGTAGGCAAACAGATTCTGAACTTTTTGAGAAAAGGATATGAAAATTGCAGAAAGTGTAACTGAGATTTAAAATTATATGAGAGTTTTTGGGATTCTTTCTATTTTAGCTCCAAGTTCACAATATTTTAGGGGTCTAGAGGACTTAGAACAGTTGTTCTTTACTGGAGGGGGTCATTTTGCCTCTCAGGGGATATTTGTCAATGTCTGGAGACATTTTGGTTGCTACAATGGGTAGCAGGGGGATGTTACTAGTATCTAGTGGGTGGAGGCCAGGAATGCTGCTAAACTTTCTACAATGTACAGGTACATGCCCACAACAAAGAATTATTTAGTCTAAAATGTCAATACTGCTGTGATTGAGAGATCCTGCTTTAGAGAATCACACATGTGAATAACAAAATATCCTTGTCGGGAGACAGTGAAATCCGTGTTAAAAAGTGAATTGGATTGGAGTCGGTCCTAGATCAGGCTCTGACTCCTTGCCGGTTTTGTATCCTTTGCAAGTCACTCAGTTTCCTCATCTTCAAATAATAAATGTTATTGAAAAGATATTTAAGTAAGTTCCCTACCATTACTAGAATCTCTGCATGTACTAACTTCTTAAATGTGTTTGGTTTTCTGCTGTATTTTTAAATGTCAACATTTATTTGCTTATGATAGTTCACCTAGGCTTTAACTTAATTGTTTTTGTACTGAAGGCAATTATGAGAGAAATTTTTACTCTCCTGAAGGACATTAAACTCAGATTTAAGAATAGGCTCATTCTTTACCTTCAGGTTTCCAAGGTCAAGCCACAATATTTAAAAATATATTAAATTTGATTAAATTACTTAAGGAATATAGCAAGAACAAAATAAAAGTAAACTCTCATCAAATTAATAATTCAGTGTAGATGGAAATGCTGCTTTCATTTCACAGAAATGTAGGAATTATCTTATGCTTAAGACTGTACAATTGTACTAATTTAGATATACAATATGTATATTAAAGCTTGGCAAATGCTTCTCAAATCTGTCCACTGCTCTGCTTTCCTGTCACTTCCATCCTATCTTCTCTCTCCCAATCCATCCTGAGGAAGGATCATTGCAATGATCTTGTGATGGGTTTTCTACATTTTTTTCCTTCTTTATATCCATTTCCCATGGTGCTACAGGAGTGATCCATCTAATGCAGATGTTATCGTGTTATATTACTCTCTCTCAAGGTTACTCCTCTACTGACTACCAGGTCCTTCATAAGCACCAACTCCACCTTTCCCTGTGATATGGTTTGGCTGTGTCCCCACCCAAATCTCATCTTGAATTGTAACTCCCACAATTCCTGCGTGTCATGGGAGGAACCTAGTGGGAGGTGATTGAATTATGGGAGTGAGAGGTGGTTGAATTATGGGGGTGGGTCTTTCCTGTGCTGTTCTCATGATAGTGAATGAGTCTCATGAGATCTGATGGTTTTAAAAATGGGAGTTTCCCTGCACAAGCTCTCTGTTTGCCCCACTGCCATCCATGTAAGACATGACTTGCTCCTTCTTGCCTTCCACCATGATTGTGAGGCCTCTCCAGCCATGTGGAACTGTAAGTTCATTAAAACTGTTTTTCTTCCCAGTCTCAGGTATGTCTTTATCAGCAGCATGAAAATGGACTAATACAATAAATTGCTATCAGGAGAATGGGGCATTGCTGAAAAGATATATAAAAATGTGTAATGTGGAAGCAACTTTGGAACTGGATAACAGGCAGAGGTTGGAACAGTTTCGAGGGCTCAGAAGAAGACAGAAAAATGTGGGGAATTTTGGAACTTCCTAGAGACTTGTTGAATAGCTTTGACAAAAATGCTGATAGTGATATGAGCAATAAGGTCCAGGCTGAGGTGGTCTCAGATGGAGATGAGGAACTTGTTGGGAACTGGAGCAAAGGTGACTCTTGTTATGTTTTAGCAAAGAGACTGGTGGCATTTTGCTCTTGTCCTAGAGATTTGTGGAACTTTGAACTTGAGAGAAATGATTTAGGGTATCTGGTGGAAGAAATTTCCGAGCAGCAATGCATTCAAAAGTGATTTGAGTGCTCTTAAAGGCATTCAGTTTTATAACAGAAGCAGAGCATAAAAGTTCAGAAAATTTGCAGCCTAACAATGTGATAGAAAATAAAATCCCATTTTCTGAGGAGAAATTAAAGCTGGCTGCAGGAATTTGCATAAGTAACAAGGATCTGAATGTTAATCACCAAGACAATGGGGAAAATGTCTCCAGGGCATATCAGAGGTCTTCATGGCAGCGCCTCTCATCACAGGCCTGTAGACCTAGGAAGAAAAAATGGTTTTGTGGACCAGGCCCAGGGTTCCCATGCTGTGTTTGGTGCCCTGCATCCCAGCCGCTCCAGCTATGACTAAAAGGGGCCAAAGTACAGCTCAGGTTGTGACTTCAGAAGGTGTAAGCCCCAAACCTTGACAGCTTCCACATGACATTAAGCCTGCAGGTGCACAGAAATCAAGAATTGAGGTTTGGGAGCCTCTGCCTAGATTTCAGAGGATGTATGGAAATAGCTGGATGTCCAAGCAGAAGTTTGCTGCAGGGGCAGCACTCTCATTGGAGAACCTCTGCTAGGACAGTGAGGAAGGAAAATATGGGGTTGGAACCCACACACAGAGTCCCTACTGGGGCATCACCTAGTGGAGCTGTGAGGAGAGGGCCACCATCCTCCAGACCCCAGAATGGTAGATCCACTGACAGCTTGTATCATGTGCCTGGAAAAGCTGCAGACACTCAACACCACCCCATGAAAGCAGCCTGGAAAGAGGCTGTACCCTGCAAAGCCACAGAGGTGGAGCTGCGCACGACCATGGGAACCCACCTTTTGCATCAGCATGACCCACATGCAAGACATGGAGTCAAAGGAGATCATGTTGGAGCTTTAAGCTTTGACTGCTCTGATGGATTTTGGACTTGCCTAGGGCCTGTAGCCCTTTGTTTTGGCCAATTTCTTTCATTTGGAATGGCTGTATTTACCCAATGCCTGTATCCCCATTGTGTCTAGAAAGTAACTAAGTTGACAGGCTCATAGGCGCAAGGCATTTGCTTTGCTTCAGATGAGATGTTGGACTGTTGACTTTTCAGTTAATGCTGAAATGAGTTAAGACTTTGGGGGACTGTTGGGGAGGCATGGTTGGTTTTGAAATGTGAGGACATGAGATTTGGGAGGGGCCAGGGGCAGAGTGATATGGTTTGGCTATGTCCCCACTCAAATCTCATCTTGAATTTTAACTCCCACAATTCCCCTGTGATCATGGGAGGAACCTGGTGGGAGATGATTGAATTATAGGGGCGAGTCTTTCCTGCTCTGTTCTTATGATAGTGAATGAGTCTCACAAGATCTGATGGCTTTAAAAACAGGAGTTCCCTGCACAAGCTCTCTCTTTGCTTACCACCATCTGTGTAAGATGTTACTTGCTCCTCCTTGCCTTCCACCATGATTGTGAGGCCTCCCCAGCCATGTGGAACTGTAAGTCCATTAAACCTCTTTCTTTTGTAAATTTCCCAGTCTTAAGTATGTCTTTATCAGCAGTGTGAAAATGGACTAATACGCCCTGCTCTTCTGCAGACCCTCCTCCATATGCACCCCGTGAGCCTTCAACTTCCTATTCTTATCCCTTCACATCTTTGCCATGTTGCTCCCTATGCCCAGAATGACTTTCATATTTATGTTGTTGGATTCCTTCAAGGTCTAGCTCTGATGTCCCCTACTGTATGAAGCTTTTCTGAATCCATTCAGGATAAAATTAATTTTTTTATTTATTTATGTTTTTCATAGCATATTATATTAAAATATCACTTATCCTAATATATTTGGCTAGCTTTTTGTTGTCTGCATTTTATTATAAACTCCCTAGGTACTCCTGATCTGCTGAATTAAACTTTTACCCCAGAGCCTAGCATGGTACCTAGAATATATTAGCAGCTCAATAAGTATATATTATTAACATCGTAGTACATTTGCAGAATGGTATCCATTTTTATTTTATAAAGATATTCCATTGAATATAGATATTTTACTTATAATTACAATAACTAATACATGTAGCATAGTACTTATTATATGTTTGGCACTATTCTAAAGAATTCATGCATATTAACTCATTCAGTTCTTACAATAATTCTATTATTAAACTTATGCTCATTTTACAGATAAGAAAATTGAAATGCAGTGAGGTTAAGTAAGTTGCTCAAAATTAGTAGTGCCAGGATTCAAACTCTGCTACTGATATGGACAGGAGGCTGGAAAATACTGGGTAGAAGAGGGTGGAGTCCCTGGCAAGGGTTCCACCCTAAAGCTGGGCCCCACAGCCCTAAATGAGAACTTTACTTCCCTGTTTTCCCACCTGAATGTTGCCTTTTGGCCCAGCATGCCCCCATCCTGTGCCGATAAGAACTCCAGACCCCAAACTCAGCTCATACACACACGGAAGAGAGAAGCATCTGAACATCAAGAAGAGAAGAAGCTGCTGGACATCAGAAACTGTGAAAGGAGAGGAGTTTGGCTGAGCTCCAGGGGAAGACTGCCTGCACATTCTATCCCCTTTTCAGTTCCCCATCCTGCTGTCAGCCACATTTACCACTCAATAAAATCTTCACATTCACCATCCTTCAAGTCCGTGTGACCTCATTCCTCTTGGGCACTGGACAAGGACCCAGTTGCGGGTGCAGTAGGCTGTCACACTGACTCTCCACTGAGCTGTTTAACACTTAAGTTGTCTGTAGACAGCAAAGCTAAAACAGCACACTGTAACACATGCCCTCTGGGGCTCTAGAGGCTGTGGACAGCCCCTAGACGCTGCTGTGGGCTGGTAAGGAGTTTATTCCTGCTGGTGCCCAAAGGCACTCACCCCAGCTCCTGCACCCACTCACCTACATCTTCCCCCTCTTTCAAGGGGTTTGAGCACTGCAGGCTGAGTAAGCGAGCCAGCGCTTCACAAGCCCCATGGGGTCAAGGGAACCCATCTCACTACCCTAGCTCCACAGCTTACATCCAAGCCATAATACCATTCTCCATCTCTTGGGGAAAAGTTGATTTGGCTAAAAAGCAGGGTTTTAGATCCTTTTTGAGTAGCTGAATTGCTGAGGATAATACTTGAACATTAGAGTATGTTGACATGTTACCATGAATCCAAATAAAGTGGTCTCCTTTCACCCATCCTTATATTTTGTGTACACTCCCTTCCTAACATTACTCCCACTATATTATTTCGGATTTATTTCCATTCTGCCTCTTTTATCTGATTGGGAACAACTTGTGGTCAGAAATGTGTCTTTTTTTTTTTTTTTTTTTTTTTACTTTGTGACCTATCCATGCACAGTATGGTAACTGGCAGATGTTTGCCCAACCAATGTTTATTGGATAAAATGATAAGGAATAGTCCATGTATCTTAAAAGAAAATAAAATTGCCACATCCATAAATACAAGTTGGTAAGACCTGTGATTTACCACCAATTGACTTAATTCTAAGAGATGAGATTAGAATATCATGTCCTTTTTCATGAGAGTTTATTTAGTTACTATTTTAATCTTCTCTATTACAATGGGAGGTGATTAAGAGCTGTTGAATCTGGAGTCAGATTTGTCAGGGTTCAAAATAATGGCTGTAACATCTAGGTGCTGAGTGATGTTGGGCATGTTACTTAATTTATCTGTGCCTCGTCTGAAGACCAAGGATAAAAGAAATCTCTATAGGACTGCTGTGAGATTAAATAAGACAATACATGCAAATTGTTTAGAACATATAGTAGAGTTAGCATTCTGTGTTAGTAGCTATAACATCATTATTATTGTAAAAATAATTACACTTAGTATTTAAGTATACACTTACCAAACTTTGTTTTTGATTATGAAGCTTCTTTACACTTCAGAGAAAGTTTAGGCCCATCAACAACTTCATCTTCAAAGCTCTGAGTTTTTGAAATGGGTTTTGACAAGAACACCTCCCAGAAGGATAAATCTTCTGCTCAGAATCTCTTTCCAAGGCTGATATCCAGTTGTCATATAAATAGTGGAATAAAAAAGACAGAGAAGGGACAGTGGGCCAGGAACAGAGCCGCATAAAATGACAGACAGTAAATGAAAAGGAATGTAATTTAGAATCGTCCTAATGTGAAACAGCATGCATCAAGACAAGTGGAGTGATAGCTCTGTCAGCTTTGCTGGCAAGGTGACCCCCAAATAAGTCATGTCTACTTAATACAATGTGAGCATCAGTTGTGGCAGCGCCAAGAGCGACAACTAACTAAGGCAAACACAACATTGCACCTGGCTCACAGTATCTCCAAGAGTAATTTGTAACACTATTTCAAGTGATTCCAATAGAACATGTTGTTCTCTGCATAAATCATGCTTTTGGGAAACAGGTTAGGGTTCATGGCAAAATAGAGATGAAAATTATCTGGAATGTTATAAACAAGCAAGAAATTATTAGGAAGTTTATAACTGAAAGCCATAATAACTGGCAATTGGGCTTTTCTTAATAACCAAAAAATATTTAATATAGAAACAAGCAAGTCAAGCAAACTAAGCCCAGTAAGTACTCAGAAATAAAATATGTATCAAATGTGTGTAATGAGTAATAGGATGTGACCAGTACTGGTTGAATTGAGAACAAGGGAGTCTCATGGGTCTAGAAGCTGGAACTGTGGCTTCTAAGACAGGCTGTGGGCCTGGATCTGTGTGATGCTGGCTGACTCCCCAATACCTTTTTTTTAATCCTCGCTAAGTATCCCTCAGGGATTCAGAATTTTTGGCTTTGGAAAGCACTTTCAAAAGATCTAAAGATCTAAAAATCCTTAGATAAAATGAATGATTTTCTGATGGAAGAGCCAACTTTCTTTCCTGGGAAGCATCCAGCCATAAAAGATCTAAAAATATCTTGGAAACACCATATATTTGAAAAATGGAAGCAGAAATTTTATTTTTCTTACTACCCAGCTTACTCTCATATGTAATTATTCTATATCTTTATGGTCAAATTGTAATGTTGGTGCTAGTTAAAGATCTGGGAAGCTTACGATATTCACTCAGGGGAGGCGAAAAGAAGGAAACGCAGTTGAAATTATTAGATCACTAAGTCTCAAAGAAAAATGGCCATTTAATAAGACTTTTCTTAGGCTGATGGGTTACATTGCAATGTTGGATTATCTGTTCTTGTGAAAAAAAAAAGGTGGAAAGATAATTAAAATTCCTTATGTAATTAAGCCAGTCCTCAATGGAAAATGAAAGACCATGGTATGTGGAAGAGGAAATTGATACAGGAATCAATTTATTTAGTAGATGTCAGCTATCTGTCAGGCTCAAGGCTAGGCACTTTTCATGTTTTATCCCAAGGAAATATATCAATACAATCCCTGGATTGCACCCCTAGACATTTTGAATTAATTAGTGAGTATAATATAGAGCTGAGACCAAGAACCACTGACTTTTGGGTGTTCCATGAAAACTAATTTATTCTCCCTAGTACCTTTTTTTTCCTGTGCTGTTGAATTCCATAAATTTTCTTGGGCACATTTCTTTAAAGCACCTGCATGCTACCTACAATAACAGGATCACCTTGAAACACACCCAGTAATTCTTAAATATTTTCCACTCTTGAACCTGTGTACAAACCTCACAAATTCAAGGTTAGTCATTGCTATAATTTGAATGTGTTCCCAAAAGTTCATGTGCTAGCAACTTAATCCCCAATGCAACAAAGTTGAGAAGTGGGACCTTTCAGGGGTGATTAGGTTATGACGGCTGTGTGTGGAAAAGCTCACTCAAACTCAAAATGACTTTTCTATTCCTCACTCTACAACAACAATCAACACAGAAGACCTCTGTGAACAAATGTGTGGAGGTTTTCCCCTACCAATAAGTAAGCAATTAATTCTGCAGCAGACACCAGCTGGCTGTCCTCTAATTCAATTTTGACACTATCTACCTGGAGATAGCATCAGTTTCTAAAAGTTGAGGAGTCAGTTCCCAAGGCCCACCCCCTCCCTGCTTACTTGGGCCCACCCCCTCCCTGCTTACTTCTGATGCCAGTTGCAAGCCTTAGGTTATTTTGTCTATGCTTCTGACCAACTGGCTATAAATTAGGGTTTACACAATCCCCTCCTCAGGTTCAATTAATTTGCTAGAGCAGCTCACAGAACTAAGGAAAACACTCACACTTACCAGATTATTGCAAAGGATATTGTAAAGGATACAAGTAAACAGCCAGATGAAGTTATACATAGGGTAAGATCTGGAAGAGTCACAAGCACAGAAGCTTCTATCCTGGTGGTGTTGGGGCGCACCACCTTCCCAGCATGTAGATGAGTTCTTATTTACCTTCCTGTAGGAATGTACATGTTCAGCTATCTAGAACCTCTCTGAACCCAGTCTTTTGGGGTTTTTATGAAAGTTTCACTACATAAGCATGATTATTAAATCACTGGCTATTGGCGATAACTTTCAGCCCCTCTCTTCTTCCTGGAGGCTGAGGGTGAGCTGAAAGTCCCAGCCTTCTAGTCCTGCTTGGTCTTTTCAATGACCAGCCTCCATCCTAAAGTTACCTAGGGGCTCCCAGCCACCAGTCAACTCTTTAGCATACAAAAAGACATCATTTTGGAGTTTCTAAGGATTTTAAAACTTATATTCCAGGAAGCAGGGCCAAAGATCAAATATATATTTCACAATACCATAGGACTCTGCTCTCATGAATGAGTGTCATTATTGCAGGAGTGTTTGTTATTGTGAGAGTGGGCTTGTTATAAAGCAAGTTCAGACCCCTCTTACATCCACTCTCACATGTGCATGTTGTCTTGCCCTTTCACCCTCTGCCATGAGATGACACAGCAAGAAAGCCCTTGCCAGAGTGGGCTTCTTAACCTTGGAGTTCCCAGCCTCCAGAACTGTAAGAAATAAATTTCTCCTCTGTAAAAATTACCCAGTCTGTGGTATTCTATTATAGCAACACAAAATAGACAAAGAAAGTCTTTCCATGGGTTCCTCCTTGGTCCTAAATTCAGAGTGGAATTTGGGGCAGCAGATTGAGTGCTGGTTATCTAGAGACTGTCTCTAACAATCTACAACTGTTATTTCCCCAGTGTTCTACAGTGTATGTAGGACTCAGCAGTCTTGCCTTTAAAGCAACTAATATTGTTCTGTCTTCCATTGTCGAATGTGGAAGGATTGTCTTTTTCCTAGACTTGAATCTTTGCTTCAGGTATGCTTGCAAAGTAAGATGCAGCAGCCTACATTATAAAGCCTCCACCATTAGGCTTAGAATGGTCTAGCGGCACATACCTCTCCTGAAATTTGAAGTATACCTCTTTACACATCCCCAGTCTTCCCACTGCCATGCTATAGCTGAGACGTGCACAGCCCAAAAATTATTTGAGTGCAGTTGCCCACATGTACAGTCCTGCTTCTATGAAATAGCCACTTGCCTGTGTACAATATGGCCATAGCAGCAGTCAACTGCCAACATCATGCCATAACAGTTAAATGCCAACCACATAATGTTAAAAAAACTTCTTGGCATAATATAATATTTTACCAACCAAAAAAGGGGGTGTGTGCTACTCACACAAAGTCCATGGTTCATGAATTCAAACCCTATGAGAAGCTTCTTGACATATTACGTTTATTTACAAATTCTACACCAAATTTTCTCAGTATGGAAAGCATATGTACAAATGTTGAGTCTTGAGATAAAACTCCCCAAATTACAAAATCCTACCGAGAAGCAAGTATTCCAAGAGGGATGATAACTTTCAAAGGGGGAAAAGGAGGAGCGAAGTTAAGCAGGCCCAGATTATTCATACCCAACTGACCATCAAATGCATCACTTTGCCTCCCCTTGGGAAGGAAAGACAATATGCTAGGGTGGTGCGGGGGTTGTGGTGCATGCTGAGAGGCTTAAAGTGTTAAACTAATGGAACTCCCTAAATATGGAAGAAACATTAGATATGGAGAAGAAGCACTTCTCTCCCTAACAGTGTTCATTTGAAACAATGTT
Source organism: Homo sapiens (assembly GCF_000001405.40). NCBI lineage: Eukaryota > Metazoa > Chordata > Mammalia > Primates > Hominidae > Homo > Homo sapiens. The sequence continues at coordinate 71,104,829 of NC_000012.12, read as the reverse complement.
TTAAAATTGCATCATTTTAACTTCTAATTGAAGCATATTCAGAAAAATGAACTGTTTAAGTATGGTAGTTTTAAAATGTGTCAACAAATTCTTTGCTACTCCATCCTCCAACAATAAAGCCAAATTTTACTCCCCTTGACTATGGATCAGAGTTAGTGACTTAAATCCTAATGACTAGAAAGTGATGGAAGGTCAATTCGGAACAAAGTGTGAGTTCCAAAACTAGGTCATAAATGGCATAGTGACTTCCTCTTTGCCTTTGAGTCACTTGGCTCTGAAGAAAGCCAGCTACCTTGCTGTGAGGACACTCGAGTAGCCCTATAGAGAGATCTATGTGGTGAGAAATTATGGCCTCCTGCTAGAAGCTAGTGAGAAACTGAAACTTCTTGCCAACAGCCATGTGAGTGGGCCATCTTGAAAGTAGATCCTCTAGCCTCGGTCAAGCCTTCAGATGATGCAGCCCCCTCCAACAGCTTGACGGTAATCTCATGAGAAATTTTGAACCAGAACTACCCAGCTAAGCTCTCTCCAATTCCTGGCCCAGAGAAATTAATACAATAATTAATTTTTTTTAAACCTCTAAGTTTTGAGTAATTTGTTAAGCAAAAAATCAATAATACAATAAGTATAAAGATAAAATAATTTTCCGAAATTAAACACCCTAATACCCAGATCAAAAAACAGAACATTATTCCACTTCAGAGACCCCCTTTATGTTTCTTTCCAGCCACTACTCTCTTCCCTGAATAGTAACTATAATCCTTACTTTTAACAGCATAGTTTCTTTTTGGCTTTTTTGAACTTTTATATAAATGGAATTTAACAGTATACACTACTTTTTGTCTGGCTTCTTTTACTTATTATGTTTATGAAATTTATGAGTTTAGTTGTACATGGTTAGTTTTTATTGCTATATAGTTTCCAGTGTAGACATATATAAAATTTATTCATCAAAAACATATATTATCAATTTTATTTAGTGATTTTTATGGCCACATTTAAAAATAAAGTTTTAACATTTAGCAGTGTAGCTGCCCATAACCCCCTGTTTCTTTTCCATTTGGAGAGAGGGATGTTTGCTGTTGGCTTTACATTCAGACAGACCTGACTTGATATTAATTTTGGTCAGTGTTTGTGTGTGTGTGGGTGATCAAGTTAATTAAAGTCATACACACACACACTTTATTTTTTTTATTTTTTTATTATACTTTAAGTTTTAGGGTACATGTGCACAATGTGCAGGTTAGTTACATATGTATACATGTGCCATGCTGGTGCGCTGCACCCACTAACTCGTCATCTAGCATTAGGTATATCTCCCAATGCTATCCCTCCCCCCTCCCCCCACCCCACCACAGTCCCCAGAGTGTGATATTCCTCTTCCTGTGTCCATGTGATCTCATTGTTCAATTCCCACCTATGAGTGAGAATATGCGGTGTTTGGTTTTTTATTCTTGCGATAGTTTACTGAGAATGATGATTTCCAATTTCATCCATGTCCCTACAAAGGACATGAACTCATCCTTTTTTATGGCTGCAGAGTATTCCATGGTGTATATGTGCCACATTTTCTTAATCCAGTTTATCATTGTTGGACATTTGGGTTGGTTCCAAGTCTTTGCTATTGTGAATAATGCCGCAATAAACATACGTGTGCATGTGTCTTTATAGCAGCATGATTTATAGTCCTTTGGGTATATACCCAGTAATGGGATGGCTGGGTCAAATGGTATTTCTAGTTCTAGATCCCTGAGGAATCACCACACTGACTTCCACAATGGTTGAACTAGTTTACAGTCCCACCAACAGTGTAAAAGTGTTCCTATTTCTCCACATCCTCTCCAGCACCTGTTGTTTCCTGACTTTTTAATGATTGCCATTCTAACTGGTGTGAGATGGTATCTCATTGTGGTTTTGATTTGCATTTCTCTGATGGCCAGTGATGATGAGCATTTTTTCATGTGTTTTTTGGCTGCATAAATGTCTTCATTTGAGAAGTGTCTGTTCATGTCCTTTGCCCACTTTTTGATGGGGTTGTTTGTTTTTTTCTTGTAAATTTGTTTGAGTTCATTGTAGATTCTGGATATTAGCCCTTTGTCAGATGAGTAGGTTGCGAAAATTTTCTCCCATTTTGTAGGTTTCCTGTTCACTCTGATGGTAGTTTCTTTTGCTGTGCAGAAGCTCTTTAGTTTAATTAGATCCCATTTGTCAATTTTGTCTTTTGTTGCCATTGCTTTTGGTGTTTTGGACATGAAGTCCTTGCCCATGCCTATGTCCTGAATGGTACTGCCTAGGTTTTCTTCTAGGGTTTTTATGGTTTTAGGTCTAACGTTTAAGTCTTTAATCCATCTTGAATTGATTTTTGTATAAGGTGTAAGGAAGGGATCCAGTTTCAGCTTTCTACATATGGCTAGCCAGTTTTCCCAGCACCATTTATTAAATAGGGAATCCTTTCCCCATTGCTTGTTTTTCTCAGGTTCGTCAAAGATCAGATAGTTGTAGATATGCGGCGTTATTTCTGAGGGCTCTGTTCTGTTCCATTGATCTATATCTCTGTTTTGGTACCAGTACCATGCTGTTTTGGTTACTGTAGGCTTGTAGTATAGTTTGAAGTCAGGTAGTGTGATGCCTCCAGCTTTGTTCTTTTGGCTTAGGATTGCCTTGGCGATGCGGGCTCTTTTTTGGTTCCATATGAACTTTAAAGTAGTTTTTTCCAATTCTGTGAAGAAAGTCATTGGTAGCTTGATGGGGATGGCATTGAATCTGTAAATTACCTTGGGCAGTATGGCCATTTTCATGATATTGATTCTTCCTACCCATGAGCATGGAATGTTCTTCCATTTGTTTGTATCCTCTTTTATTTCCTCGAGCAGTGGTTTGTAGTTCTCCTTGAAGAGGTCCTTCACATCCCTTGTAAGGTGGATTCCTAGGTATTTTATTCTCTTTGAAGCAATTGTGAATGGGAGTTCACTCGTGATTTGGCTCTCTGTTTGTCTGTTGTTGGTGTATAAGAATGCTTGTGATTTTTGTACATTGATTTTGTATCCTGAGACTTTGCTGAAATTGCTTATCAGCTTAAGGAGATTTTGGGCTGAGACAATGGGGTTTTCTAGATATACAGTCATGTCGTCTGCAAACAGGGACAATTTGACTTCCTCTTTTCCTAATTGAATACCCTTTATTTCCTTCTCCTGCCTAATTGCCCTGGCCGGAACTTCCAACACTATGTTGAATAGGAGTGGTGAGAGAGGGCATCCCTGTCTTGTGCCAGTTTTCAAAGGGAATGCTTCCAGTTTTTGCCCATTCAGTATGATATTGGCTGTGGGTTTGTCATAGATAGCTCTTATTATGTTGAAATACGTCCCATCAATACCTAATTTATTGAGAGTTTTTAGCATGAAGGGTTGTTGAATTTTATCAAAGGCTTTTTCTGCATCTATTGAGATAATCATGTGGTTTTTGTCTTTGGCTCTGTTTATATGCTGGATTACATTTATTGATTTGCATATATTGAACCAGCCTTGCATCCCAGGGATGAAGCCCACTTGATCATGGTGGATAAGCTTTTTGATGTGCTGCTGGATTCATTTTGCCAGTATTTTATTGAGGATTTTTGCATCAATGTTCATCAAGGATATTGGTCTAAAATTCTCTTTTTTGGTTGTGTCTCTGCCCGGCTTTGGTATCAGAATGATGCTGGCCTCATAAAATGAGTTAGGGAGGATTCCCTCTTTTTCTATTGATTGGAATAGTTTCAGAAGGAATGGTACCAGTTCCTCCTTGTACCTCTGATAGAATTCGGCTGTGAATCCATCTGGTCCTGGACTCTTTTTGGTTGGTAAACTATTGATTATTGCCACAATTTTCAGCTCCTGTTATTGGTCTATTCAGAGATTCAACTTCTTCCTGGTTTAGTCTTGGGAGAGTGTATGTGTCGAGGAATTTATCCATTTCTTCTTTATTTTTCTAGTTTATTTGTGTAGAGGTGTTTGTAGTATGCTCTGATGGTAGTTTGTATTTCTGTGGGATCAGTGGTAATATCCCCTTTATCATTTTTTATTGCGTCTATTTGATTCTTCTGTCTTTTTTTCTTTATTAGTCTTGCTAGCGGTCTATCAATTTTGTTGATCCTTTCAGAAAACCAGCTCCTGGATTCATTAATTTTTTGAAGAGTTTTTTGTGTCTCTATTTCCTTCAGTTCTGCTCTGATTTTAGTTATTTCTTGCCTTCTGCTAGCTTTTGAATGTGTTTGCTCTTGCTTTTCTAGTTCTTTTAATTGTGATGTTAGGGTGTCAATTTTGGATCTTTCCTGCTTTCTCTTGTGGGCATTTAGTGCTGTAAATTTCCCTCTACACACTGCTTTGAATGCATCCCAAAGATTCTGGTATGTTGTGTCTTTGTTCTCGTTGGTTTCAAAGAACATCTTTATTTCTGCCTTCATTTCGTTATGTATCCAGTAGTCATTCAGGAGCAGGTTGTTCAGTTTCCATGTAGTTGAGTGGTTTTGAGTGAGATTCTTAATCCTGAGTTCTAGTTTGATTGCACTGTGGTCTGAGAGATAGTTTGTTATCATCTCTGTTCTTTTACATTTGCTGAGGAGAGCTTTACTTCCAAGTATGTGGTCAATTTTGGAATAGGTGTGGTGTGGTGCTGAAAAAAATGTATATTCTCTTGATTTGGGCTGGAGAGTTCTGTAGATGTCTATTAGGACTGCTTGGTGCAGAGCTGAGTTCAATTCCTGGGTATCCTTGCTGACTTTCTGTCTCATTGATCTGTCTAATGTTGACAGTGGGGTGTTAAAGTCTCCCATTATTAATGTGTGGGAGTCTAAGTCTCTTTGTAGGTCACTCAGGACTTGCTTTATGAATCTGGGTGCTCCTGTATTGGGTGCATATATATTTAGGATAGTTAGCTCTTCTCGTTGAATTGATCCCTTTACCATTATGTAAGGGCCTTCTTTGTCTCTTTTGATCTTTGTTGGTTTAAAGTCTGTTTTATCAGAGACTAGGATTGCAACCCCTGCCTTTTTTTGTTTTCCATTTTCTTGGTAGATCTTCCTCCATCCTTTTATTTTGAGCCTATGTGGGTCTCTGCACGTGAGATGGGTTTCCTGAATACAGCACACTGATGGGTCTTGACTCTTTATCCAATTTGCCAGTCTGTGTCTTTTAATTGGAGCATTTAGTCCATTTACATGTAAAGTTAATATTGTTATGTGTGAATTTGATCCTGTCATTATGATGTTAGCTGGTTATTTTGCTTGTTAGTTGATGCAGTTTCTTCCTAGTCTCGATGGTCTTTACATTTTGGCATGATTTTGCAGCGGCTGGTACCGGTTGTTCCTTTCCATGTTTAGTGCTTCCTTCAGGAGCTCTTTTAGGGCAGGCCTGGTGGTGACAAAATCTCTCAGCATTTGCTTGTCTGTAAAGAATTTTATTTCTCCTTCACTTATGAAGCTTAGTTTGGCTGGATATGAAATTCTGGGTTGAAAATTCTTTTCTTTAAGAATGTTGAATATTGGCCCCCACTCTCTTCTGGCTTGTAGGGTTTCTGCCAAGAGATCCGCTGTTAGTCTGATGGGCTTCCCTTTGAGGGTAGCCTGACCTTTCTCTCTGGCTGCCCTTAACATTTTTTCCTTCATTTCAACTTTGGTGAATCTGACAATTATGTGTCTTGGAGTTGCTCTTCTCGAGGAGTATCTTTGTGGCATTCTCTGTATTTCCTGAATCTGAACGTTGGCCTGCCTTGCTAGATTGGGGAAGTTCTCCTGGATAATATCCTGCAGAGTGTTTTCCAACTTGGTTCCATTCTCCCCATCACTTTCAGGTACACCAATCAGACGTAGATTTGGTCTTTTCACATAGTCCCATATTTCTTGGAGGCTTTGCTCATTTCTTTTTATTCTTTTTTCTCTAAACTTCCCTTCTCGCTTCATTTCATTCATTTCATCTTCCATTGCTGATACCCTTTCTTCCAGTTGATCGCATCGGCTCCTGAGGCTTCTGCATTCTCCACGTAGTTCTCGAGCCTTGGTTTTCAGCTCCATCAGCTCCTTTAAGCACTTCTCTGTATTGGTTATTCTAGTTATACATTCTTCTAAAATTTTTTTCAAAGTTTTCAACTTCTTTGCCTTTGGTTTGAATGTCCTCCCGTAGCTCAGAGTAATTTGATCGTCTGAAGCCTTCTTCTCTCAGCTCGTCAAAGTCATTCTCCATCCAGCTTTGTTCCGTTGCTGGTGAGGAACTGCATTCCTTTGGAAGAGGGGAGGCACTCTGCGTTTTAGAGTTTCCAGTTTTTGTGTTCTGTTTTTTCCCCATCTTTGTGGTTTTATCTACTTTTGGTCTTTGATGATGGTGATGTACAGATGGGTTTTTGGTGTGGATGTCCTTTCTGTTTGTTAGTTTTCCTTCTAACAGACAGGACCCTCAGCTGCAGGTCTGTTGGAATACCCTGCCGCACACACACACTTTAAGTCACAAAGATATAAATGCACACACATTACATATATATAAACATAAATATATCTAATATACAAATAGAATAATGAGAAGAATTATTTAATTATCTTCATAGACACCAAAATGCTTTGAATGAAATTAAACACCTATTCCTGAAAAAACAAAAAATAATTAATAAAATAAAAATCTATGGATACTCAACACATACATCAGACCCCAATTTGATATTTTACTCAGTGGGGAAACCTAGAAAAACCAATGCTAAAGCTAATATAATCAATGATGGTATATTAGGATTTTCTAGAGAAACAGACCCAGTAGGTTATATAGAGATATATAGGAGGAGATTTATTATAGGAATTGGCTTATGTAATTATGAAGGCTGAGAAGTCCCACAATATGTCACCTGCAAACTGTAGAATCAAAAAAGCTGGTAGTGTAATTCGTCTTAAGTCCAGAGGCCTGAGGACCAGAGGAGCCAATGATGCAATGTCCAGTCCAAGGCTACTCATGTATTAGTGCTATCAGATATTAAAAACATATTCTAAAGCCTCTATACTTAAAACAATATGACATTGAGGAATAAATAGATAAAAAATTTTATAAATAGACTCAAAGCCACCTAAAAATTTTGTTTATGGTAAAAGTGGCATCTTAAATCATGGGGATACATGAGGTGCAATAAATAATGTTAAAGCAACTAAATAGAATTTGAAAAAGAAAAAATTGTATTCATACTTTGCACAGTATAATGATGAAATCTAAATGAATTAGAGAAAATAAATCATACAAATGGTAAAAAGAAACATTGAATTCTTTTATAATCTGGAAGCTAAGTAAAACTACTAAATTATTTCATAAGATAAAGAAGCAATAAAAAATTAATAAATTTAATTCCACAAAATAACAAATGTTTGCATGAGATATAACCATATTATTGTGTGTATTAAAAGTAGCATAAAAATCTAAACTACTATACGGAAAGTCAAAAGATGAAGGACCAACTAATAGAAAATATTTGTAACTCCAAGGGCTAATTTCCTTCATATATAAAGGGCTATTTACAATCAAGAAGAAAAGGTCCAAAAACCCAATATAAAAGTGAGGAAGAAAACATAAAGATAGTTCATGGAAAAGAAATGCAAATAATTGGCTTGGTGTGGTGGCTCAAGCTTGTAATCTCAGCACTCTGGGAAGCCAAGGTGGGAGGATTGCTTGAGGCAAGGAGTTTGAGACCAGCCTGGACAACATAATGTAGATGAGGTCTCATCTCTACAGAAACAAAGAAATGCAAATAACCCTCAAAAAAAGATAATTATAAATTAAAACTACACTGAGATATCATTCCTGACTTCCCAGATTAACAGACATCCACATGCTTGAAGATATGTTTTGTTGGAAAGACTATAGAAAATAGTCCCTTTAATAGAATACTGATTGGATTGCAGAATGGTTTAATCTCTATGGAAGAGGATGAAGAAACCACTAGCAAAACTACACATCCAATTCCCCTTTCATTTTGCAATCTCAATGTCTAGGAATCTACTTTGCAGCTGCACCTCCACAAATATGAAATAAATGCAATATTTTTTCATTGCAGTGTTATTTGTGATAGCAATATATTGGAAATGACCCAAATGTTCACAAGTAAGGGACTAAATGATGGTCCATCATTGGGGTACTATGCATTTGTAGAAAAGAATGAGGAGTATCTTTATGAGCTGGTGTGGACTGATATCTAGGCTATATTGTTAAGGAAAATATCAATCAATATTATAATATGCTATTTTTGTGTGTAAGAAACAAAGAGAAATAACATGTATATATATTTGCTTATGTGCTTACATATATTTGCTTATACATATTTGCAAAAGAAAGCC